>NC_000004.12:84072896-84224411 GCF_000001405.40 Homo sapiens
CTGGACGATGAAGAGACAAACAAAAATTCCCCCAAACACGTCCTATCTCATTATTTCTATAATAGGTATTTCTACAATTTTACTCTTTCTATGATTTGAGAAATCTACTGATACAGGCTTGGGCTGATAGTAATAAAGGGTAAGAGGCAACGTTTCCTTAAAATGGGGCTAGGAGAGAGGGCAAATTATCTAATATGTTTCATACCTAAGTACAATTATGCCAGTCATTCATCTGGTTATGAAGGGCAACATCAAAAGTGCGTTACAAAGCAACTGGTAGTAGAAAGAAAACTAGCTTTAGGTCATAAGCTAGTTTCTGTCACACTTTTTGCATTTTCTTAGGAATTTTAGGCAGTTATAGCCACAAGGAAGAAAAGAAGTCAGTAGTCACGCCTGGGTCCTGCTAGATAAGGCAGCTGAACTGAAAGAGGAGGAAGAGTGCAGCCAGCCAAGTGGCAGAGCACCAGGGCAGTTACATTCCCAATGCACCACAAAATGACTCTATAATGCAGCATAGACCAAAGCTGAATGCAAAAAGAAATCACATTGCTGGTGAGGAACTGCGTTCCTTTGGAGGTTCCTCACCAGCAACGGAACAAAGCTGGACGGAGAATGACTTTGACGAGCTGAGAGAAGAAGGCTTCAGACGATCAAATTACTCTGAGCTACGGGAGGACATTCAAACCAAAGGCAAAGAAGTTGAAAACTTTGAAAAGAATTGAGAAGAATGTATAACTAGAATAACCAATACAGAGAAGTGCTTAAAGGAGCTGATGGAGCTGAAAACCAAGGCTTGAGAACTACGTGAAGAATGCAGAAGCCTCAGGAGCTGATGCGATCAACTGGAAGAAAGGGTATCAGTGATGGAAGATGAAATGAATGAAATGAAGCAAGAAGGGAAGTTTAGAGAAAAAAGAATAAAAAGAAATGAACAAAGCCTCCAAGAAATATGGGACTATGTGAAAAGACCAAATCTACGTCTGATTGGTGTACCTGAAAGTGATGGGGAGAATGGAACCAAGTTGGAAAACACTCTGCAGGATATTATCCAGGAGAACTTCCCCAATCTAGCAAGGCAGGCCAACATTCAGATTCAGGAAATACAGAGAACGCCACAAAGATACTCCTTGAGAAGAGCAACTCCAAGACACATAATTGTCAGATTCACCAAAGTTGAAATGAAGGAAAAAATGTTAAGGGCAGCCAGAGAGAAAGGTCGGGTTACCCTCAAAGGGAAGCCCATCAGACTAACAGCAGATGTCTCGGCAGAAACCCTACAAGCCAGAAGAGAGTGGGGGCCAATATTCAACATTCTTAAAGAAAAGAATTTTCAACCCAGAATTTCATATCCAGCCAAACTAAGCTTCATAAGTGAAGGACAAATAAAATACTTTACAGACAAGCAAATGCTGAGAGATTTTGTCACCACCAGGCCTGCCCTCAAAGAGCTCCTGAAGGAAGCGCTAAACATGGAAAGGAACAACCGGTACCAGCCACTGCAAAATTATGCCAAAATGTAAAGACCATGGAGACTAGGAAGAAACTGCATCAACTAACGAGCAAAATAACCAGCTAACATCATCATGACAGGATCAAATTCACA
The DNA here is from genome assembly GCF_000001405.40 of Homo sapiens. Classification (NCBI taxonomy): domain Eukaryota; kingdom Metazoa; phylum Chordata; class Mammalia; order Primates; family Hominidae; genus Homo; species Homo sapiens. The sequence goes on from NC_000004.12 coordinate 84,074,500, forward strand.
CATAACAATATTAACTTTAAATGTAAATGGACTAAATGCTCCAATTAAAAGACACAGACGGGCAAATTGCATAAAGAGTCAAGGCCCATCAGTGTGCTGAATTCAGGAAACCCATCTCACGTGCAGAGACACACATAGACTCAAAATGAAAGGATGGAGGAAGATCTACCAAGCAAATGGAAAACAAAAAAAGGCAGGGGTTGCAATCCTAGTCTCTGATAAAACAGACTTTAAACCAACAAAGATCAAAAGAGACAAAGAAGGCCATTACATAATGGTAAAGGGATCAATTCAACAAGAAGAGCTAACTATCCTAAATATATATGCACCCAATACAGGAGCACCAAGATTCGCAAAGCAAGTCCTGAGTGACCTACAAAGAGACTTAGACTCCCACACATTAATAATGGGAGACTTTAACACCCCACTGTCAACATTAGACAGATCAACGAGACAGAAAGTCAACAAGGATACCCAGGAATTGAACTCAGCTCTGCACCAAGCAGACCTAATAGACATCTACAGAACTCTCCACCCCAAATCAACAGAATATACATTTTTTTCAGCACCACACCACACCTATTCCAAAATTGACCACATACTTGGAAGTAAAGCTCTCCTCAGCAAATGTAAAAGAACAGAAATTATAACAAACTATCTCTCAGACCACAGTGCAATCAAACTAGAACTCAGGATTAAGAATCTCACTCAAAACCGCTCAACTACATGGAAACTGAACAACCTGCTCCTGAATGACTACTGGGTACATAACGAAATGAAGGCAGAAATAAAGATGTTCTTTGAAACCAACGAGAACAAAGACACAACATACCAGAATCTCTGGGACGCATTCAAAGCAGTGTGTAGAAGGAAATTTATAGCACTAAATGCCCACAAGAGAAAGCAGGAAAGATCCAAAAGGGACACCCTAACATCTCAATTAAAAGAACTAGAAAAGCCAGAGCAAACACATTCAAAAGCTAGCAGAAGGCAAGAAATAACTAAGATCAGAGCAGAACTGAAGGAAATAGAGACACAAAACCTCTTCAAAAAATTAATGAATCCAGGAGTTGGTTTTTTGAAAGGATCAACAAAATAGATAGACCGCTAGCAAGACTAATAAAGAAAAAAAGAGAGAAGAATCAAATAGATGCAATAAAAAATGATAAAGGGGATATCACCACCGATCCCACAGAAATACAAACTACCATCAGAGAATACTACAAACACCTCTACACAAATAAATTAGAAAATCTAGAAGTAATGGATAAATTCCTTGACACATACACTCTCCCAAGACTAAACCAGGAAGAAGTTGAATCTCTGAATAGACCAATAACAGGATCTGAAATTGTGGCAATAATCAATAGCTTACCAACTAAAAAGAGTCCAGGACCAGATGGATTCACAGCCGAATTCTACCAGAGGTACAAGGAGGAACTGGTACCATTCCTTCTGAAACTATTCCAATCAATAGAAAAAGAGGGAATCCTCCCTAACTCATTTTATGAGGCCAGCATCATTCTGATACCAAAGCCAGGCAGAGACACAAGAAAAAGAGAGAATTTTAGACCAATATCCTTGATGAACATTGATGTAAAAATCCTCAATAAAATACTGGCAAAACGAATCCAGCAGCACATCAAAAAGCTTATCCACCATGATCAAGTGGGCTTCATCCCTGGGATGCAAGGCTGGTTCAATATATGTAAATCAATAAATGTAATCCAGCATATAAACAGAGCCAAAGACAAAAACTACATGATTATCTCAATAGATGCAGAAAAGGCCTTTGACAAAATTCAACAACCCTTCATGCTAAAAACTCTCAATAAATTAGGTATTGATGGGATGTATTTCAAAATAATAAGAGCTATCTATGACAAACCCACAGCCAATATCATACTGAATGGGCAAAAACTGGAAGCATTCCCTTTGAAAACTGGCACAAGACAGGGATGCCCTCTCTCACCACTCCTATTCAACATACTGTTGGAAGTTCTGGCCAGGGCAATCAGGCAGGAGAAGGAAATAAAGGGTATTCAATTAGGAAAAGAGGAAGTCAAATTGTCCCTGTTTGCAGATGACATGATTGTATATCTAGAAAACCCCATTGTCTCAGCCCAAAAGCTCCTTAAGCTGATAAGCAACTTCAGCAAAGTCTCAGGATACAAAATCAATGTACAAAAATCACAAGCATTCTTATACACCAACAACAGACAAACAGAGAGCCAAATCATGAGTGAACTCCCATTCACAATTGCTTCAAAGAGAATAAAATACCTAGGAATCCAACTTACAAGGGATGTGAAGGACCTCTTCAAGGAGAACTACAAACCACTGCTCAAGGAAATAAAAGAGGATACAAATGGAAGAACATTCCATGCTCATGGGTAGGAAGAATCAATACTGTGAAAATGGCCATACTGCCCAAGGTAATTTATAGATTCAATGCCATCCCCATCAAGCTACCAATGACTTTCTTCACAGAATTGGAAAAAACTACTTTAAAGTTCATATGGAACCAAAAAAGAGCCCGCATCGCCAAGTCAATCCTAAGCCAAAAGAACAAAGCTGGAGGCATCACACTACCTGACTTCAAACTATACTACAAGGCTACAGTAACCAAAACAGCATGGTACTGGTACCAAAACAGAGATATAGATCAATGGAACAGAACAGAGCCCTCAGAAATAACGCCGCATATCTACAACTATCTGATCTTTGACAAACCTGACAAAAACAAGCAATGGGGAAAGGATTCCCTATTTAATAAATGGTGCTGGGAAAACTGGCTAGCCATATGTAGAAAGCTGAAACTGGATCCCTTCCTTACACCTTATACAAAAATCAATTCAAGATGGATTAAAGACTTAAACATTAGACCTAAAACCATAAAAACCCTAGAAGAAAACTTAGGCATTGCCATTCAGGACATAGGCATGGGCAAGGACTTCATGTCTAAAACACCAAAAGCAATGGCAACAAAAGCCAAAATTGACAAATGGGATCTAATTAAACTCAAGAGCTTCTGCACAGCAAAAGAAACTACCATCAGAGTGAACAGGCAACCTACAAAATGGGAGAAAATTTTCACAACCTACTCATCTGACAAAGGGCTAATATCCAGAATCTACAATGAACTCAAACAAATTTACAAGAAAAAAACAAACAACCCCATCAAAAAGTGGGCAAAGGACATGAACAGACACTTCTCAAAAGAAGACATTTATGCAGCCAAAAAACACATGAAAAAATGCTCATCATCACTGGCCATCAGAGAAATGCAAATCAAAACCACAATGAAATATCATCTCACACCAGTTAGAATGGCAATCATTAAAAAGTCAGGAAACAACAGGTGCTGGAGAGGATGTGGAGAAAGAGGAACACTTTTACACTGTTGGTGGGACTGTAAACTAGTTCAACCATTGTAGAAGTCAGTGTGGCGATTCCTCAGGGATCTAGAACTAGAAATACCATTTGACCCAGCCATCCCATTACTGGGTATATACCCAGAGGATTATAAATCATGCTGCTATAAAGACACATGCACATGTATGTTTATTGCGGCATTATTCACAATAGCAAAGACTTGGAACCAACCCAAATGTCCAACAATGATAGACTGGATTAAGAAAATGTGGCACATATACACCATGGAATACTATGCAGCCATAAAAAATGATGAGTTCATGTCCTTTGTAGGGACATGGATGAAATTGGAAATCATCATTCTCAGTAAACTATCGCAAGAACAAAAAACCAAACACCGCATATTCTCACTCATAGGTGGGAATTGAACAATGAGATCACATGGACACAGGAAGGGGAACATCACACTCTGGGGACTGTGGTGGGGTAGGGGGAGGGGGGAGGGATAGCACTGGGAGATATACCTAATGCTAGATGACGAGTTAGTGGGTGCAGTGCACCAGCATGGCACATGTATACATATATAACTAACCTGCACAATGTGCACATGTACCCTAAAACTTAAAGTATAAAAAAAAAAAAAGAATAAAAGATACCTGGGGACAACTTCTTAAAAAAAAAAAAGAAATATATGCAACAATGGTAATGTAAGCTAAAAATATCCTTTTTTTGGAGACAAAATTGAAAGCCTACTACTACCACTGTGGCTTCTTGCCCACATTCATAATCAGAAGAAATATTAAATGTCTATTAGAGGTTATTGAAAATAAAAATGTATTTTTTCCCAAAAAAAAAAAAAAAAAGAAATCACAGGTAGATGGAGCAAGGTGAAACAAAGCCACATCACACTGCATAAGGAAAGAACATGCACTGTAAATATTATAAAGCATGCACCACAAATCCACAAAATTCAATATTTTTCTAAATCTGTACTGAGACCAGGAGGGCCTTTGACTCCAGAAAGTGATGCCTCATAAGTTGCAAAAAAAGGTTAATAAACACTTAACAACGATTAGATAGAAGGTGTTGATCTGTGCCTAGATATTGTATTCATATCTAGCTTCAAATAGTACTTTTAGAAATGTTAATATACAAATAAGATAATAATTGTTTATTAAAATATTGATACCAGTGAACCATAGTGGGTTTTTTAGTATAATTTGCTAGAGTGTGTTTATTCATCTCATACCTCTCTCTGGTAGCAGGTACATAATTGCAGGCGTGGTACCCCAAATAAACTAAATAACCTCATGGAAACAGGCATCACATATTTATTGCTGATATAATAACTGTAAATTCCACAGGTTTATCCACTACACTACTAGTTTTGACTGCCTTGTTTTGTTTCTTAATCATTCTAAACCCACAGTCTGAACACATTTACATTTTCTGTTTTAATACCAAAAGCTTCTATTTTTCAGAAAAGGACCTTCAATATTTAATAATAATTACATATTCTTATGTAAGAATTATGATAATTAAATGAGGCAGCATATATTCAATCACAAATCACTTAACACTAAGGAGTGTGTCACTTGGCAAGTGACAGACTGGCCAATTGCCCGGGCTTCAATATGAGAGATCTTCCTGAATTTGTAGATTAGTGGACAAGATAGGCCTGGAAAGGCCTGATAAATTGTATAAATCAGATCCAAAATTTGACTGCAAACTCCTGAAGGTGCAAACTTATATTATCTTTGTATTTTCCTAAAAGCTGATCAGCATAAAATACACACGTTGAGAGCATTGAGTAAAAATAAACTTTGCTTAAAAGAACAGAGAGATGAGAATATAGGATTTCTGAAAATAGGTATTTCTGCATGATTTCAAAAATGTAGTAATCTCTTGGCCATCTTAAATTGCTACAAAGGTTTCATTTGTATTTTAAAGAAAAGTAAAAACACACAAAATGACAGATATTCCAGTCAGAGGTATTGGTATACGCAAAGGCACAGGGATATGAATTCTGTGTCACTGTAGAATAACGTATCACAGGTTGAGCATCTGTAATCCCAAAATACAAAATTTGAAATGTTCCAATTTGAAACTTTTTGAGTGCCATCATGATACCACAAGTGGAAAATTCCACACTTGACCTCATATGACAGGTCAGAGTTGAAACCTTGTTTTACGCACAAAACACAGTCAAAACTTTGTTTTATGCCCCAAATTATTAAAAATACTGTATGAAACCTTCAGGCTATATGTATGAGGTGTATCTAAAACATAAATGAATTTTGTGTTTAGACTTAAGTTTCATCCTCAAAGATATCTCGCTATGCAAATATTCCAAAATTTGAAAAAATTCAAAATCTGAAACATTTCTGGTTCCAACCATTTCAGACAAGGGATACACAACCTGTATTTTAGGAGCAGAGATGAGGTAGTGGGGGATTGGTAGCAGAAGAAGCCAAACAGTTGAAGAAACAAGAAAGAGTTTACGAAGGTTTTGCTTCCTACGTAAAGGTACCTAGTATTTTATCTAGTTTCAAACGGGAACCATTAAAGAAATTTTAGGAAAAAAGAATAAAAAGAGTTTTCTACTAAATGAACAGGTCAGGAAAAGGAAGGAGGAAGACCAGAGAAGCTGCACATAGAATAAGGTCTGAACTAGAGCAAAGGCAGTAGGGGTGGAGAAGATGTAATGGATATAAAAGATAAGTTTTAAAGTTTCCAAATGATTGCTGACGCACTGGAACTCTTTTGATCAAACAAAACCTTGCAATCTTATCCCAAACCAGAGCAGGTGTGTTTTGTTGAAGGGAGGCTCCTGTTCCCTACCTCCCACTCACACCACTGGGCACAACTTAAAAATTACTGTGCAACTGCCAAGCTTTCATAGCAGTCAGTATGTGGGGCTGAGAGATCAAGTGAGACTCAGTTTCTCAATGTAGGCAGGTTGGTAGATGGAAATGCTCTTCCACAGGGAGGGAATGCAGGAGGCAAAAAGGCATGCTCAGTTCTTGTGTTGGACTCTCTTCTCCCTGTCCCCAATTTATTCTTTGTTCAGTCTTCCTATCAAGATTTTACAATGAAAACTTTTTTGCACCAGTTGGGAAAATGAGATTATCAGTGAAATCCTAACGATCTCAAGGTTAAAAAATTAGCCCTAACTATAAAAGATAATTAAATTTGCTTTTTTTCTGGAAGTACATAAATCTAAATGCCGAAAATTTAATTCTTATTTTTAGATAGTTACCTATTTTTAATATGTGGTTTGAATTTCTTGTTAAAGTTTGGTTCTAGTGAACAGTAACTACCAGGGCATGTGTGTATATATGTGTAACATATCATATTTATATAATATGCATTTTTAATATATTAAGTACAAATTATATATTTAAAGGTTTATCTATATTTTATTCACTAAATATCCATCAAATGATTACCAAGCGCCTACCATGTACCAGAGATATGGCGTGAAACAAGCAGGCAATTCTCTTTTCTTAAGGAGTTTATATTCTAGTGAGTTGAAAGCAAATCATTTCTTGAGTATAGCTAAAGGGTAAGATCTGCTAGAAAAGTTAAGCCTATTATCCACTCTACCATTCAAATCTGGCAGTGCTTGATTCAGTGCTGTAAGTTGCAGCAACATGATGGGGATCACAAGGGCCACAGGGTTGGGCAGTGACACCACGGAGATGAAGTAATTTGGCCTTTATGTTTCTCATCAGCATTGCTTTGCACTTTGGATCAAATCTTGACATGGATTATCAGTCTCTTTTCAACATCAAAAAGGTAATGTATGCTTCAGTTTCATTGAAACTTGGGATGTTGGGCAGGTAAATGACTACTAATTTTGGCTAGAGGAAGACTGAGTGACAGTGGGAGTGACAGTGAAATTACCTCCCCCTGGACTGTGTTTTACACAGAACCACATGGAGTTGCATACCTCCTCTCTCTCTCTCTGCTTCTCTCTTGCTTGCATACATTCATTACATGCCTAATGTTTAGGAGCCAGGATCCTTCCAGCTGTTATCCTTCCAATATGCCTGCCGACTTGTCTGTATCCTGTTCCCTTTTGCCTTTCTTAATTATTTGTTTATGGGAGGACATAGTATTGGGCCTTAGAGCCAAAATAGATTGCATTAGGTGGGCATGGTGATGATTGCTTTTAGTCCCAGGTACTCAGGAGACTGAGGATTGCTTGAGCTTTGGAGAGCATGGCTGTAGTGAGCCGAGATCACGTCACTGCACTCCAGGCTGGGTGAGACACTGTCTCAAAATCAACAACAAAAAAACTCCAAAATGGGTTGCAGATTCCATCCCTCGCAATGTTCTTCTCTGACATTTGCAAGGCTTTATCTCTGTTTAAATAATCAGTAGGATTGCTGAGTACTTATTGAACCTTCTTTCACTTTACTTACATAGCTTGAATCCCACAGTCAGCCATTTCACCCAAGTCTTTACAATCAGCCAAGTCACCTTGCTGTTGCCAACTCAAGATAACTACATCTCTATAGTTTTGATTTCTTCATTCCCCTGTTTTATATATAATATATATCTATATCTATCTATCTATCTATATAAATAAAACAAACCTTCAAAGGTTTCCCATTATCTATCATACTCCACAGCAAACACTGAGGTTTCTCTACCATCAGGATCCAAACTTCCTTTCTAGTCACATCTTCCTGTACCCCCCACAAGTTCTTTGTATGGGAAGTACATCATGTACCTGTGCTGATACTCACATTGCTAGTGCCGTCTGGAATATCCTTCCATTGATTTCTGTACCTGCCCAAATAACTCAACTGTGGCTATCCTAAGGATATTCCACATTATCTCTGGCCTTGAAGTCTCTTAAATGAACAAAATGAAATTGTCCTATTTGATTAAGTTGGTTAATACACTTGATTTCCTCTTATTTTTTTTTTTCTTCAAACAAAATCCCCTGAATTTAGAGTTCCAGATTTATGCTACTTTTACATATCACTAGAGTTATGTTTCTTCTAATGCTGGAGCAGACAAAATCAAGTTTAATTTCATTCTTAGATCTTAATAATGGTTTCTAGTAGTGATTTTGTCATGGAAAGGTATATTGTTTAAACGGGATTGTGTAGTCCTAGCCCACATAGAATGAGCAAAATCTAGGAAGCCTAAACATACATTTATGGGCATCGAATTGTGAAACACAGAATGAGTAGTGAATTCAGTCTCCATGAGGAAAGAAGAGGAATCTCTTAAAAGATCTTGAATATCAAAGGGAACTGAAATTTGATTATTCTCCAGAAATGTGAATACAGATTAGCTTTTTCTCTGAATTATCTGAGTATCACATAGCTCTAGAGGGCCTAGAGCAGTGATTGACACATAAAAGCTACAAAATAAATCCTTGTTGACTGACTTACAATGAGATCACAAAGTGAGGAACCCAGAGGGTTTGCCCAAGGAGGGAGTAAACCAGGAAGATTTCATGACGTGTGATTCCAAGGGAACCCTCTGCAGAAAAATACCTCCCCCACTTGCAATTCCACCAAAGTCACCTCCTAAAAATATTCCAAATCCTTTGTCTATGTGTCCCACACCTCCCAGCATGATATTGATCAACCAAATATGTGGGTATCAAAATGGAGTCTCTCTATTCTTAAGGGTATATAATAAGTGGTTAGATTTATTAATATATCTTTTTGAGTCTTAAGAATTATTGCATCCTCAGCCAACAGACACATGAAAAAATACTCCTCCTCACTGGCCGTCAGAGAAATGCAAATCAAAACCACAATGAGATACTATCTCATACCAGTTAGAATGGTGATCATTAAAAAGTCAGGAAACAACAGGTGCTGGAGAGGATGTGGAGAAATAGGAACACTTTTACACTGTTGGTGGGACTGTAAACTAGTTCAAACATTGTGGAAGACAGTGTGGCGATTCCTCAAGGATCTAGAACTAGAAATACCATTTGACCCAGCCATCCCATTACTGGGTATATACCCAAAGGATTATAAATCATGCTGCTATAAAGACACATGCACACGTATGTTTATTGCGGCACTATTCACAATAGCAAAGAGCTGGAATCAACCCAAATGTCCATCAATGATAGACTGGATTAAGAAAATGTGGCACATATACACCATGGAATACTATGCAGCCATAAAAAAGGATGAGTTCATGTCCTTTGTAGGGACATGGATGAAGCTGGAAACCATCATTCTGAGCAAACTATCGCAAGGACAAAAAACCAAACACCGCATGTTCTCACTCATAGGTGGGAATTGAACAATGAGAACACTTGGACACAGGAAGGGGAATATCACACACCAGGGCCTGTCATGGGGTGGGAGGAGAGGGGAAGGATAGCATTAGGAGATATACCTAATGTAAATGACGAGTTAATGGGTGCAGCACACCATCATGGCGCATGTATACATATGTAATAAACCTGCACGTTGTGCACATGTACCCTAGAACTTAAAGTATAATAATAATAATAATAATAATAATAATAATAATAATAAAAGAATTTTTGCATCCCAAGAGTGCCCTAATGAAAGTCACGTGGCTTTGGGAGGCCTAAAATTTTAAATCATAGATCACTTCAGTGGGGAGGAGGAAATGACGTTTGTCATCGCCAGCTATGAGCAGAGCCCCCTGGAAATAAGGCACAAGAGAGGCGCCTTATGAGGACTTCATGAGGGAAGAAGAGGGGCACTCTAGGCCTCTCTGACTGGTGGTTATGTAAAGCCACAATAATGGAGGAGAACATCTTAGCATCAAGGGCTTGCTTTCCTTCCTCCTATCTTTCCTTTTGCCCACGATTTCTTTCCCTTCTTCTCCTGCCTTGGGGACTACAAGGTAGCATAAGGAAAAATCTCTGTGATGGACACCTTTCCTTTACCCCTCTTTTCTATTTCTTGGTTCTGTTCTTCGCTCTGCTTTGTAACCTGGGAAGCTGGCTCTATGAATGGCATCCCTTGCCCTCTAGTTTCTGTTCGGTGGCCCACCAGGAAACATGGGTAGCAAATCAGAAGAAGAAAAGAGAATGAGAAATGACTGTTTACTCTCCTGGCTCCCATTCTGTGGGGTTGTTGAGGGTGGACCTAGACCAAAGCCTTAGAGTCCCTGACACTTGGCTTCTTGTTTTCTTTCCTTCTCATTCTCACTCTCCCATCCCCTCCTTCTTCCCCTACTGCCCTGCCTTTCTTCTGGTAAGTGCTTTCCTCCCTTGCCCTTCAGATCTTGAGATGTAAGTACCTCTTACACTGATACAGCCCCAGAATACAGCATTATTTCTTGCGGTTTTTCCAAATCCTTCTCCACATATTTGTAAATCTGCCTTTTATTAAACTCACATTAAATGACCCAATCTGGGCACATCATTTGTTTCTTGCTGGGATCCTGACTGATGCAACCTCTTATCCTACAGGAAAACTCACCGTGAGGCCATGTGCTTTCCCAAAGAGATAAATATCTGATTTGGTAGCTCCTTATATGAACATTTTATTGTGTATGACTAGGATATTGTTTTTTTTTAAGCTAGCAGGTAAAAATTTTCTGAAGATCTATTTAAAAATGGAATCTTATTTAAAAAGGACATGGGTTTCTTCTTACCTCTTATCAAACTATTACTAAATATTTCTCCTCAAATAAATACACTTTTTTTTTTCAATGCCTACTAAAGACTCCAAGTCGGTGTCTTATGGAGGATAGCTCTGAAGAGCCAAGACATTATTCTTTGGCTTGCCTGGCTCCTCACATTTAAAAGGAAGAAATTAGGTCATACCAAGTTAAATGACTTTAATAAACTCATTGTTTCCAGTGCTGGCGTGGTGTATGACTTTTGGAGCAGAGAAGGATATAAATTCTATTTCTCTAGAAGGACTCACTGTTTCATCATTATCTTCAAATTATAGGTGCGAGCCCAGCAAAAGACTTTGGACATAGTAAAAGGAGCTTGGATATAGTAGAAAAGCCTTCTAAAACAGTGGAGACAAACACGATAGTATTCACTGGGGCATAAGTAATCACATCTCAAAATGTAGCTGGACAAACTGGCAGCTGAGCTCATGCCTAGTCCATAGGAAGTCAAAACAAAGAGAAATATACCATTACAGAACTCACATTTTGATTACAATTTGATCACATTATAATTTTTGTCCCCTGACGACAGAGTAGATTGACTGTCTGAACTTCCATTTAATGTTTAAAATGCCTAATCCTCCAAATCCTATAAGAGGATCTTCCAACTGTGAGATCCTGACCATGGGCCAAGTCAGCAGCCAACAGCGACCCCGCAGAGCTTTTAGCTGAAGCCAGGAGGAAGCAAAAGCCTTGTTAGTAGAGATTCACTCACTCATAGCTCCCTAAATAGCCCTGGCTTCGTACTATGACTTTGCCCAGGTTCTCAGGTTCAGATCTCTTAGGCTTATTTTGGGAGGATTTTGCTCCTGTATAATGCTTTAGGCACAGGGCTTCTAGACTGAGACCATCTGGATTCAGGTGCCAAATACATTGGCGTGACACTAGGCAAGTCACTTAATGTCTTGTTTTCTCAGTTTTCTTAGCTGTAAATGGGATAACCATAATGCCTATTTCTTAGAATTGTCATAAAAATTAAATGAGATTTGTACATCAACTTTCTTAAAAGTCATTGAAAGTTATGAAATGAGCTAATACATGAAATGCATTAGAATTGAGCCTGGCACATAATAAATGTTCAATAAATGTGAACTATCATCATCATCATTGTGTGAAGTGTTTAGCATTTTTTAAAGTATTTGTAAATGTGAGATTTTTGTTTTCAGATTTTGCTATTCTAGCAATATTGTGTTTAGCGGTGATTTGCAGAATAACTTCTTCCCCTAATTCTTTTTTTTTTTTAATAGAGTGGTGCTTAGTTGCAACAATGTACTATTGATTGAAAATCTTAACAGTAACTCTATTTTCTTTTTTCTGGGATGAAATGTGCTGCTTACCTCCTGATTTTTCAAAAGGAGAAAATGAAGTCATCATAAAAGAGATGCGTGTGGAATAGTTTTCCCAATAAAATATTTTCATGTACTGCTTCATGTCCTTTTTCCCTTTCTGGAGCATGGGCTTTTGGCAGGAAATATTTAATTCCAGTTATTCAAATGATGAGTATTTCCAAATAGACCCCTATACTGTACATATGAAATATACCAAGTTAAAAAATGCCAAAATTTTAGAATACAAATAAATTCTAGTTCATTTATTCAAAAGACTGAATGAATTATACCTGCCATTATTTCCTTCATCCAATACCCTTGCCCATGACAGACATTGCTAATCGATTACTACAATCATTCCTGCAGTCTTGGTTGCATCTTCAGAGTCCTTCTCAATGCAGCACACCAGTAACTGCTTCTAATGAGTAATAAGATAAAACCTAACAGACAAAATATAATATAGCCTTAATAGATTTCTTTGTGTTACAGATAAAAAAGCAAGATTAAGTGGCTCAAAAAAATACTACACACCTGAATAGTAGCAGAGTTAGATCTAGTACTCAGTATTTCCAGATCTGAGGATTCACATTTGTACCACAGTGAATGAAAATCTGCTTAAGAACTAATTTCATGATACTCTCTAATGATATTTCTATATTCCAGAATGTACTGCATAAAAAAAGAAGCTATATTCACACCTCATGTGAAGTTTGCTTTGAGTTTTTCCTCCACAGGAGCCTCTGGAGTGGCTTAAAAATCTCTAATTTTACTCACTTCATATCCCATTTCAGCTTTCATAAAAAATCAGCCAGATCCTTAGAAATTCATAGGAAGATTTGCTGTGTCAGAAGCAAAGTCGACTGACAAGCCAGCGATGTCTTTGTTCTTCAGTGTTGCCAGTGAGATAATCGTTTTGCATTAGATTGGCTCCCTGATCTTGCCCTCCCCGCCACGAGGCAGAGCCCCTTAGAAAGTCTCCTTCCAGCAAGTCCCACTACCCAGTGTTTAAATTTTCACTTGGCTACTTTGAAAGGTCTAGCCAGTGTCATGTCTGCTGTTGCCTCAGGGTTCAGTTTCAGGGAATGTTTCCTTAATTAGTAGATGACAGGTAGATGACATCAATCTGAAATAAGTTCAACAGACTCTCTAGCAAGAAAACCAGCTAGTGTCAGGAAGGAGCAATATTAGAAGTTGTGTATTCTCAGGTGTAATGCAGAAAATGGCTCTGAGGGCTGGAGAGAAAGGCAAATGCTACCTTATGTGAGGCAGATCCCCACTGGTCCTTGCTATGAACGATGGCATCCCTTTCCCCGACACCTCCTAATACCAGACCTGATGTTGGAGTATGGGAAAGGAGGTTGGATAGGGGTGTTGAATCTTCCCCGAGCCTTTTTGCCAAGCTTGTGTGTTGAATTCAGTTTGACTTAAACTTGAAGATACTCAGTCATACTAAAGCCAATACTTCCTTGCCCCACCTTCCCCAGATGGGTGTGTGCACTTTACCTAACTCTATTAGATTGTCTCTGTGGACACTCAAAAATTCTGCCTGGAAGATTCTTACAGATACTCCTAAGAGTTTTTATTGAAATAGCAAAGGTGTAATGGAGTAAGAACTAGACGGCAGTTCAGAGTAAAAATATTTGCCATACCTATGCCCTCCCTCCTTACTGAGGTGGTTGTCAATAATATTAATCGTTGTACCTTGCATTCGCTGAGCTTTATCACGTTCAAGGGACGCCAGCTAAGTGATCTCATTTGATCCTTCATACTTTGCACATGAGAAGATGCTAATTGCTTATGAACTAATCATTAGAGGGAAAAATTGAAAGCAAAACGTTCAGAAAGAATAACATTGGGGAAGGAAAAAAATTAAGTACTATTTCAGTTTGTCCCATATAGGCAAGAGAGTGAAGAGGGTTAATCAATGCTAACACAGAATTTACTCCAAGAATGAATGCTAAAGATGGTTCCCAAATATTTCTCTATTAGAGATTTCTGTGGGATCCCAGAAAACTGCATTTATAAAAAAAAAAATTTTACTTTGTCCTCATTTTTAGCAATAACAGCCATGCCTGATAACAATCAATTGGTACAATTCTGAGTTGCTATAAACAGACATCACAGAAATATAGAATTTCCATTAGGTTTTGATGATGATTTCAATAGTCGCTGGATTCCTATTTTGTGGAAACAAAGTGATTGATGCTAAAGTTTGAAAACTATTGATAAAGTCTAGCCTTCTCCTTTTAATGATGAACAAATTGGCCAAGAAAAATAAAATAACTTGGCTAAGATTACAAAGCTAGTTGGTATCAAGGTGAAACTAGAATGCAAGTCTTCTGTCTGTACATTTTAACAAGATATAAATCAAGTCAAAATCAAATTATATTATGAACCATGCAGGTAATTAAAAAATGAAGTCACTAGTTAAAAGAAAAACAGATGCAGAGATTTGATAAAACTGGCAAATGGCCCTCCGGCTTGGTAGTGAAGAGACAATAGGAAAAAAAAAGAGGACTATAATAAAAGGGAAAGGACATGTCCTATTTAAATGGGATAACATAGCCTACTTCAGCTAAGGGCAATTATACTGGAATGTGAACTTGGCATTGCCAAATCTTCGTGCTTTTTTCCCAAGAAAAGTAGGAAATGCAAATTTTTTGTGAAATTTCTCAATGTTTAAATGTTGCCGGTTTATTTGAATGTTTGAAAATGCCATTTGGGCCAACGTTTCAAGAGACAAAACATACCGGTGAGTTGCTAATTTGTGGCTGCTCATAAAAGTAATCAATATTGGAACATAAAATGTGTCTACTGATAAAAGTTTACCAAACCTATAATATTAATTTGTTCATCTAGCCTTCCATTTATCCATGTGGGAAGTTCTTGAGTTTCTTCTATGGGTAAAGCATGGTACTAGACATTATCAGAAGCACTGAGTGAGACTGGAAATGTGAGGGGAGTAGAACAGCTTTGGAATGGCCGTCAGAGGGATTTGCTTCAGACTTGTACTTACCTGGGCGACAAATCAGAATCACCTGGGTCTACCCCTTGATGATTCTGACTCAGCTGTTCTGAAGTACCATTAGCAGTCAATAAGAGATAAGTAAAATATTTTTAAGTAGCAGCTGATGTCAGATGACGTGAATTCCTGGTGAAGCCAATATGTATGATATAATGACTTCTAACAACCCCGGAAAAAAGAGTGTAAGTAAGTGTGGCAGTGGAGGAAAGTAGATAAGGAATCCCATTTAGGCTAGAAGACTGGCAAGGTGGTCATACCTGAAATGAATGGCCATTTGGTTCAGACTGATTCGGTGGATGTCTGGCTAGTGGGTAAGCAGTGTATGGGTCTTGAGATATTCTGAGTCTGTAAACATTGGGCTCATTGTGTTTCAGTAGAAACAGAGGAGGCTTGTGTCTTAATGTTCCTAGGGCTATATCAGACTGACTAAAGAATCTTGAGGAAATTTGCTACACCCCCAACTTCCTCATCTGTTAAAGAAGGCTAATATTGCTGTAGAAGTAGTTTGAAACTTGTAAAAGCAGTTTGAAGTGTAAAGGAAAAGTGATATCTAAATGTAAGTGTTATGGTTTTCAAATGTATTATTTTGGTATTTTGAGTGCTAAAAGGAGCTTCTCAGAGAAGTCTTTCTCTTCCATAAAACCAATCAGAAACGTTCAATTTTTGCACACAGGAACAGGCAGCTACAACTGGGAAAATGATTCTGTGATTCCACACATTTCTTTGACAAGTCACAAATGGGTTTTAGTGACCAGCTGCAGCTTGTGTGTTAAATTCAAATAATTCATTCTTGGCACAGTTATTTTTCACATTCCCTTGCATTAGAAAAAAAATTATGCTGCCTAACATTACATATTGTAAAAACGGTAGCTTCTATCTTATCTATTTGGAGAGGATATTGCATGCTAAATGCATAAAATAAAAATGTCAATGAATTCACCAATATGTTTCTCCTTTAATCAGTTGGAGCAAACCTTCTTTGGATCTTTAGTCAGGTCTGCTAAGACCTTCAGGGAATTTTCTTATCTCATAAACTACAGGAAATGCAAAATGGAGATGATTGTTGACTACTTTTTAGGTACTCAGATGAAAACTAGCTTTTAGAGCTTGGATTGATCTGGAATTCTTGCTCCGACCCAAGGGTCTGGACCCAGTAACAATAAAACAGACCATCAATCTGCTTAGTACACTTCTGGTTTTCAGGAGGAAAGTTTTCCCTTCAAAGCAAAGGATCTTCTCACATTGGGGTGAATTATTGTGTTGAAGGTACTAGTTTATCTACTGGCATCCTGAAATCTACTCAAACAAGGAATGCATTTCAAAATTCATTTTATCGCTATGCTTTTTTTTAAGTCCACAATCATGTAAATTCATTGTAAGTGGGAAAAAAAGTATATTCGGTAAGAGAGATGTCTCAAGATTATTATAATATAATAATGATTAATATTATCACACTGGAGGTGATTTGATGGAAAAGATCCTTAGGTGTTTGCACTTAGTCCCTGACTAAATCAACATAGAATTTCTACTGACCTAATTAATCTTAAATTAAGCATGTCTACTGTTTACTGTGATTACCTCATCAGACAAGCTGTTTCAGCATCTGTTTTTCCTCATGGTGAAAAAGGTTCTCTTTTACTTCAAAAATGAGTTTTCCTCCTTTAAAGCTCACTTGTTTGGGTATTTCTATCCAAAATAAATACTTCTTTCTCACCTATTAGCTGTTTAAGACTGAGTTATGTCTTCAAATGCATGTACAGGGCTCTCAGTGCAGACATTTGACTTCGGTGGGAGCTATGAGTCTTTGAGGGCCTGATTTGCCCCTGTTTGTGCTCAGTATATAAGTATTTAGGTAATGTTTTCATTTCCTGACCCACTCAATATCATTTTTTGGCAAAATGAATTCACTTCCCTCACATTTTCCCCATCTGTTATATTCTTAAGTCTGTTTATAACTTTGCTTACTTTTCTTTGATCATTTTTAGTCTGGATGTCATTTTTCAATGACAATGCATGCATGCACGTGCGTGCACACACATAAACCAAAAGAATACATGGAATTTGTATTCCTTTATACAAAGTATGTACAAAGTACCTAGTACAGCATTTAACTTTACATATAAGATATGCAACATGTATAGATTTATCTTTACACACATCTCTATGGTGACAAAATGGGTTGATATTTTGCTTTTAAAAATAGAGACATAAAGTTGTCTATTTCTTAATATTATGGGAAAGAACCTGCTATGGTAGAGAACTGAGTCCTCATTTTTCTTCTCTGGGTCTAATTCCGGCGTGTAACCTAGATGGAAAGATTTTCAGTTTTTAGTTTTTCTTTTGATTAATCCATATTTGTTTTCTCTTTGTTCCCAAACAGTATGTTTCGAAAGCATGACTAGCTAACCATCTTGAAAGATGTTAACATTCAAGAAAACATCAGACTGGGTATCAGGCATCTGTGGACTCATTCTGGATTCCAGATGGGTGTTTGAGACACAACAAATGAAAAGCCCTATTTTAATACATTTGCCTGCTCTTGTTTTTTCACTTGACTTCCCAATCTAATTTCTTTGCTGCCAAGGGTTCTCACTCATATCACCATTTAAAATTTAAAAGCAATATATATTTAAATGCGAAACAAAATGCTTATATGGAGACTCTGCCACAGTGGAAAATATGACAGTGGGTTTCATTTCAAAGAGTTCTGGATGATCTCCCGAGTGGTAGAGCCAGAGGTAAGAAATGTTAGATCATTCCAAATGGCTGGAAACAAAACAAATATTATTCCCTGTCTGATCATGGTCTGTATCTTTCCACATTAGGGAAATTTTGTTTTTATTCATTTGCTCTTTGTCATCTTCCTTTTGGGTGACCATGGTTGTTGTGAATAGCACAGAGAGCAACTTCCAAATTTATTTTAACAGTAGGAGAGGTTATAAGTCATCCATTCTCACATTTTGAGAAAACGGAAAAATCCTATTAGTAATGTATATGCATCTTAGGTTTTACTTAAAAAGTCTCCCTCTTGATTTAAAACACCCTTCTTAAATTGTACTGTTCTCTGGAATGATAATAGAATTGGAAAATTTCCACTCAACATCCCATTTTATCAATCCACTCAGGAACACCCTGATAGAGTGATCAGTTACATGGAACTTACTGCTTGCACAACCTTCTGCCACCAAGGCTCACAATGAAGCAAAAACGTGAAAAGCTCAATATAAATGAAAAATATTTTATATGATACTGTATGCATACTTACCAAGAATGTTTATATGTTTTGTAATAATAATTTGTAGAATATACAAATAAGTTTGTGTCTGGAGTCAATAGTCAAAAGTGTGCTTGGAGAGCAAATAGCAAGTTATTCTGGCAGTGAAATAGGGCAATGGACTACAAAAGGTATAACTTCAAATGTATCTTTTCCAACTGCTTTTGTCTTTGTTTTGTTTTGTGTACCTTCAAAAAATTAGTCTGCTCTTTCCTGTGGAAGCAGCACTAGTAGTTATATGAAATAAATCTACTTGTCTGGCATATATTTTTTCCCCTCTTAGAAATGTCAAAACTGATATAGTGTGATGTGTATGAGTGTGGAGTATGTGTCATGTGGGAACCCACACAGTGTGCAAGTGCCATCTACATTCCTGAAAAATTACGTATATGTGAATAAATAAAAATGAAATCATATTTTAAATGTTCCATGGAAATCCAATGTAACGTAACTCCTCTGGTAATTACTTTTAAGTGAAACATAAAATAATGTAGTTTGTCCTACATACAGATATACTGAATTTATACATGAAAAAATGTTTTGAACACTGTATTTTCTGTAATTACTTATAGCCTTCTAGAAATATTGATATACTTTGAAAGTAGAAAATTGAAAGAAATATAGAATATTTGACATAACCTTCTGCAGCTTTCTGGGCTGATGGTAAAAATGAGGATAATGAACATGAAGCCCAGCTGCCTCTGAAAGAACAGTAATGTGCTCACCTTTCCCTTTCTTTCTCCTTTGTCTATCTCATGGCTTCTGTCTTTGTATCATTTTGGCAAAAAAGAGTGTAGTTTTTGATATTAGTCAACCTCTACTGGGGAAAGGGCCTCCTGGGAGAGCCAAGCAATCTAATTCAGGCAAGAGAGAAGAAATCAGTAATCCCTTAACTTTGTGGCTGAAATAATCTATGTAGGTGCTAGAATTTCTTTGAGATCATAACTTCATGATGTGGAGGCCTGTTCTATAGAAATTGGACAGTGGCTGCCAGCATAAGTCAGGCATAATGTAACCTTGTTCTAGTTATTCAGCTTCTCCGTACCATCCAAACACATAAACCAAAAGAATCACTTTTATTGTATTACTTAGAAGCCCTAAGATACTGTCAAGATGTTTTATGTTGAGTCAAATGCATATGAGTGACCATATTTTTTTTAAAAAGGAATCTTGACCCTTACCTCACACCATATGTAATTAATTCAAAAGGGAACATAGACATAAATATTAAAATTTTAGAAGAAAACATAAGATGAAATCCTAGAGACCTTGGATTTGGCAAAGATTTTAAAAATATGACATAAAAATCTGCACTTCACCAAAATTAAAGACTTTAATGTTTTCTGCAAATCATATATCCAACTGAGAACTTAAATACATAATATATAAAAAAATTTGCAACTTTTTCTAGCTTTTTTTTAGCTTTGGGGTACATATGAAGGTTTCTTACATAGGTAAACTCATATCAGGGATGTTGAACATTTACAACTTTAATAGTGATAAGATAAAATGATCCATTAAAAAAGTGGGCATAAGATTTGAAGAGGAACTTTTGCAAAATAAAAAGACATGCGGATGCCAAATAACTACATGAAAAGATACTCAACATCATTAACCATTAGAAAAATACATATTAAAACTATGAGATATCATTGTACTATCACTAGAAAGGCTAAAACTTTAAAAACTGACTTTTACAGTGTTTGAACCCTGATATACTGCTGGTTGGAATGTAAAATAGTATAACCACCCTAGAAAATAGTTTGGCAACTTTTTAAAAAAAGTTAAACATACGCTTATGCAGCTGAGCCATTCCATTACTGGATGGATATTCACCCAAGAGAAATGAAAGCATGTTTCCATACAAAGATTTAAACACAGATGTTTATGGCAGCTTTATTTGTAATAGTGAAAAGCTAGAAACAATTCTAATGTCCTTCAATGAGACAATGAAATACAGCTCAGCAATAAAAAGGAATGAACTATTAATATATTCAAAGTCAAAATAGCTATGCTAAATGAAGTCAAATTTTTAAAAAGTACTTACTGTATATCATTTACATAAATTTCTAGAAAATGCAAAACCACTCTACAGTGACAACGGTAGATCAGTGGCTGCCTGGGATGAGAATGGGGAAGAGGGACCTTTGGGAGGGATTACAAAACAGCACAAAGAAACTTTTGGGGGTTACAGTTATATTCGTTATCTTGAATGTAGCAATGGTTTCACAGGCGTATCCAAATGCCAAAACTCATTAAGTTGTACATTTGAATATATAGTTCATTGTATGTCAATTATACCTTAATAAAGCTGAAAAACCTAAGTGTAATCTGAAAAACAATCCTCTTTTGTTCATTAATTACCATTAGCACAAGCTTTGGAATAAATGGTGAGTTTTTTTGTTTTTTTTTTTTTACTTTGGAATATTATTTCTCAAGCAGTATGCCTCTAAGCAGGATATTGCATGATAGTTGTGATTATTAGTTTGGCAAAACACTCAAATAAAGTTTAACTGTGTAGCAGAATTCTAATTACTAATATTCATTGAGATATAGAAAAGTTAATTCACTTTAATCATTTCACAACATATGAATATGTCAGAACATCACATACTCCATAAACAAATAAACATATATATGTATAATTGTTGATTTTAAGAAATGAAGAAATTTCAAGATGAATTTTTACATTCATCTAAGTTTTTCGTTTTACAAGTATATGAATCTAGATATCTATGAAAGAAGCTGCTAGATTCCATGGAGCATATGTTCATTTGTGGTTTTAAATGACAACATTTTGTTAGCTGAACATTGTCCTAAAGCAATGATTCCTATTTACCAGTCTGAACCCCTGAATACATTAGAGTCACTAGAAGGTTTTACAATAATATAGTCTTGCACCTTTCTCTTCCTCTTCTTCCTTGCATAGTTTAATCCAAAAGCTATGAGATTGAGCCAAGAAGGTAGGCATTAGGAGGGGGAACCTTAGTAATCTAGAATGTCTGTAAGGAGCAAATCAGTACCACGTGTCGCCTGATGGAATGCAATGAGAAATACACAGCATCAATTCTGTGCTATTACTACCATAGATGTATAACCTGAATTGAATAAAAAAGCACCATCAGACACACCTAAACAGAGGGCATTTTATAAAACTAACTGGCCTGTAATCAGCAAGTATTAAAATCATGAAAGTCAGGCAAATAAGAAGGAAGTCCCAGATTGAAGAACACTAAAGAGACACAATGACTCAAGGCTAAGCTCTAAAGGACATTATTGGGACAATTGGTGAAACTTGAAGGGGGTCTGAGAATTAGATAATAATAAGGAACTAATGGTACTTTCTCAATGTTTATGTTTGTTTTGTGATTATGCAATGTTTATGTTTGTTCATGTGATTATGTGAAGATGCCCTCATGTGTAGGAAATACACACTAAATATTTAGAGGTAATGATGGGGCATCACATCAGAAACTTATTCTCAAATGGTTCAGATTTTTAAAAGTCCTTTATGCTGTACTTGCAATTTTTCTGTAAGTTTGAGATTCTTTCAATTGTTTAAAAGAATTTAAAGGCATATCCCTGGGGAAAAACAGGACACATTAAAATTAAATTCATGCCATAAATAAGGTCAATTCTTTATCATTAAAAAAGTAACTATATAAAAGTAAAATGAAAAGCATTTATCTTCCTATAAAACTGCAAACCAAAAATCACACTAGAAACATACTGAAACATAACCTTCAAACTTAATTTCCTGAAACAAAGTGAGTGGTACATCTTCACTGCCTATAAGTCTTTCAACTTCTCCAGCTTATTTTTTAATAGTCTATTTGACTAGTGTTAGGTTTAGGGTTAGGTTCCAGCCCCCGCTGAGGTTTGAGGGGAGTGGGTGGAGGAATGGGCAGATAGCTGAGAGAACACTTGGGGGGCCATAAGCAGGTAAAATGTAGCTTTATTCAGCAGCTCTCTCATTAGCGCCTTACCTACACTAGCTCTCTCACACTGGTCACCTTTATCTCAGCTGTCTGCTCCAGCTCTGAGGTTCCTCTCAACAGCCAGCTCAGCTCTCCCTTCAGGGTCAGCAGCTTAACTCTTTCTCTCTAGGCACAAGTGAGCTGAGCTGTGTTCTGGCTTCCTCCTGTCTGTCTACAAGACAGACAGCTTTGGTTCTCTCTCTTTCTCTGGGTGCGAGCGCCATGTCAAACCATGCCCAAGAGCCCATACAGTGTCAGCAGGGCAGTTATACCTTCTACAGACAATAGTGGCTCAGAGCTGAGTATGAGTTTATACAAACAGGTTATATAACAAGTGGAGTATGCACCTGCGCCTAAACTCACAGTCATGCAGGCCTGGATGTCTGCCTTGGCCTAATTCTTGACCAAAGCACATCCATGTACCTTACAAGTAGCAGAAAAGGAAGGTCATGATTTATAATGTTTTAGACTCACTGGAGGATATATCTGACATTTAATATATAATACACTAAAAGATTATACATATATATATCTATATATATAAAATATGTTATCATATAAGAATCATAGATGTCAAATAATCTTTATTTAAAGAGCACAGTATTCCATCATTAGTTGTTGGATGCAGCTGGAACTTAATTGACAATTAGGCTTTTGGTGTCAGGTTCATAACTAGAAATCTGCTGGGTTCCTTGCAGCAAACTCTCTAAAACACAAAGCACAGTTGAGGATCTGTTTTTAAAAATGCAGCCAAGCTAGTGCCATACAGACCAACAAAATTAATCAGTGGAATATAACTAGATTATTACACTGAATCTAGTCAAGTCTATTGCATCTCTACCTATAATCTAAGATCCCAACATCTGCTCTCCCTTCTGGGCCCACATATACCCTGCCAGTTGAAAGACAGTCATTAACAGATCCTAAACTCTCCTATATTCTTCTAAAACTAAATTGGAAAGTTACACAACCAGATGTGTGTTGATCAATACAGGGTGATAGAGTAGGTAGTTATTAAAGATTAATAAAAGAAAAAGGCAATTGAAGATGGTTTCTGTGTTTGTTAATTGTTGAACATATCACTCATAATATTGATGATTCAGGTACCAAATATATGTTAGGATAAGAGTAATTATATAATTCTCTTTAAGGACTAGTAGAGCTTCCAGTCAGACAAAACAAAACAAAACAAAACAAAACTAATGATCTTAAAAATATTTTACATTAATACAGTGGAATACTACCCAGCACTATAAAGGAATAAACTACTGATACATACAACACTGGATTAATCTCAAAACCTCATGCTGAAAGAAGCCAAAAAAAAAGTCTGTACAAAAAGAGTTCATATTCTCATGCCTGTAATCCCATCACTTCAGAAGGCCAAGGCAGGCAGATCACTTGAGTTCAGGAGTTCGAGGCCAGTTGGCCAATATGGTGAAACCCCATCTCTACTAAAAATACAAAAATTAGCTGGGTGTGGTGGCACTTGCCTATAATCCCAGCTACTCAGGAGGCTGAGGCACGAGAATCACTTTAACCTGGGAAGCAGAGGTTGCAGTGAACTGAGACTGTGCCACTGCACTCCAGCCTAGGGGACAGGGTGAGACTCTGTCTTAAAAAAAAAAAAAAAAAAAAAGGAAATATTGGGTACCATTTATATGAAGTTCTAGAACAAGCAAATCTATGTCGAAAGAAATCAGAGCAACAAAGAATTGACTGGAAGGGGACATTTTCTGAGGTGACCGTTATGTTCTATATCTTGATAGGAATATTGGGTTGCATGTGTATATGCATTTGACAAATATCTTGGGATTGTAACACTTAATATGTGTGCAATTCTTTGTAGGTAAATTATATCTCATTATAAAATATATTAAAAGAAAAAATGTAGTGTAATTTTATTTTCCTTTTCGTCTTTGCTTCCAGCAAGTTCAAAGGCTGATTTTTAATAGCCAATCACACATGACTAGGAGGAAAATCATGTTAGCATACTCTCTACCTTCTATATTTATTTTAATTATTTCTAATTTAATGACAGTATACATTTGTCATGTTATAATGGCCCTCCCTTTTTTAAAAGGTGTATTGTAAATGTACATATATATACAGTCACCCTGGCATATAACAAAAATGAATAGACTTCTAAAAGGTACATTTAACAATTCGGGGAAAAAAAAACCTTCAAAAATCTTGACTTGTTATCACTCTCAGTTACTTACAAAAGTCTATTTGAATAGTGTAAAGATAAATTCCTCTCCTGATTTTAGTCATTACATCAAAAATGTATTCTCTTTTGAAGAATGCAGCATTGCTTAAGTGGAATATTTACTTGAGAATAATATATATGAATTGAAGTGTTTGATTGTGGTTAGAAAAGTTATTCTACAGAATCTCAAACTCTCTCTGCTTATATAACATTAAAGTTGTCTGAGGATGCATGACTAATGTAAAATGAGAAAATATGAAATTCTTGAAGTTATCACTGTTCATACTTAAAGAGAAATTTTTATTTCAAACAATCCTTGGAACTACTCTGATATATGGGGTAGACGTGGACTAAGTGAGAGAAGGTTTGCAATTCTGTCTCCAACTCACATTTGTCAAATAGCTTTGTCTTGGTATTTACAATTTTCTCAGTAGATGTGAAAACTCAGTTGCCATAGCACCAAGGAATGTTGAGGGTTGACTGAATAAGACCTTCCCTTTGCTCAGGATGAACAGTGTGGGCAGCATTTGGTATAAAACGTATTTCACAAATTCCTAGTTCAGGAAAAGCTGCTGCATAGAAGCTGCTATTTCCTTAAGAATGCTTACAAAACTACTGCCCTCTCCATTCCTAGTTTTCCCCCTATTTTCTAACCATTTTTATTACCTTGTGAAGAATAACTTCAACGTCTATTGTATAACCCCACACAATAGCTCTTAAAAACTATGGCAAATTATATTTCTACCTCCAAAGTTCACCTCCACAATTTTTCAAAGAGAAAAAAATTGTTTTTAAATTACAGATTAATCATCAAACTTCTTCAGTCATTTGTTTCTCTTGATGCTGAGAGAGAACAGTGTATTTTTCACGAGGTAAGTAGTTTACTGTAGCAAGTACTGCTACTGTAGCAGAAAACCCTTCAGCTGTGCTGTTTTATAATGCAAATATGCGGCATGGCCCTTGAGTAAAGGAATCAACATTTACGTCTATTCTGTAAGTTTATATGTTCAGTCTCCTCATAAAAAGAGAAACGCACTGAAATAAAATTTCTTACCTATCAGGTTGGCAAAAATGTAAAAGTTTGACACCAGACTCTGTTAATGAGGCTGTAGGAAAAATGGCACCTCATACATTGATGGTAGACTGGATTATAGACATTAAGATTTTTTTTTTTTTGGTCAAAAGAAGTAGGCTTTTGTCTGTAATATTTGATGTAAACATTTTTCTCAGGTTCCCATTTGTCTTTCAATTTCGTTTCTGGTAGCATTTTCCCAACAAAAGATTCTGAGTTTTATGCAGTTGAAGTCATTCCCTCTTTTGTGTGTGTATGTGTGTGTGTAGGAGAGGGTGGTGGCTTTGAGGATTTGTGTCACTCTTTGACAGGCCTTCCTCATTGTGACAATAACAACAAAAGCACCTCTGGTTTCTTCTAGTTTTATAACTGTTTCATTTTTAATACTTAAATATTTCAGCCATCTGGTTTTATTTTGATGCAAAGTATTGGGAATTCAATTTTATTTTTCTTTCTTGGTAGAAATCTTTTTGTAATCCATTTCTTCTAATTTAAAATGTCTTCAAAATATATGAAATTCCTATATGTGCTTGTGTCTATTCGGGAAACTTTCTATTGCATTTCATTGATCTTTCTGTTCACGAATTAGTACCACACTTTTAAATTATTATAGCTTCATAATATATTTTAATGTCTATAAAACTTAAAAAGAACAAAGCTGGAGGCATCATGCTACCTGACTTCAAACCACGCTAGAAGGCTATATATAGTAACCTAAACAGCATGATACTGCTACAAAAATAGACACATAGAGCACTGGAACAAAACAAAAAACTTAAGAAATAATGCTGCACACTTATCACTTTCTGATCTTTGACAAGACCAACAAAGGCAATCAATGAGGAAAGGACTCTCTAATAAATAGTGATGGAATAACTGGCTAGCCATATGCAGAAGAATGAAACTGGACCCTTACCTTTCACTATGTATAAAACTAACTCAAGATGGAATAAAGATTTAAGTGTAAGACCTGAAACTATAAAACCCTAGAAGAAAACCTGCAAAATAGGTTTTCCTTGGTTTGGGGGGCCTTAGCCAATAATTATTTGCCAAGGCTGATCCTTCTCAGCGTCAGCCTTGGCAAACAATTATTGACTAAGTCCCCTAGAGCAACTGTAACAAAAACAAAAATTAACAAGTGGGACCCAGTTAAACAAAAGAGCTTCTGTACAGCAAAATAAACTATCAACAGAGTAAAATATGCAACCTACAGGATGGGAGAAAATATTCACCAACTATGCATCTGAATGCATAGTTTATATCCAGAATCCATAAGGTCTAATATCTAGAATCTATAAGGAACTTAACAAGCAAAAAGCAAATAACCCCATTTAAAAATGGGCAAAGAACATGAATACACACTTCTTAAGAGAAGACATATAAGTGGCCAACAGACATGAAAAAATGCTCAGCATCACTAATTATCAGAGAAATGCAAATCAAAACCACAGTGAGATACTATCTCACACTAGTCAGAACGGCTATTTTTAAAAAGTCAACAAACAATACATGCTGGTGAGGTTGTAGAGAAAAGGGAATGCTTATATACTGTTGGTGGGAATGTAAATTAGTTAAGCCACTGTGAAAAGCAGTTTGGAGATTTCTCAAAGAACTTAAAACCATTTGACCTAGCAAGCCCATTATTGGGTACATATCCAAAGAAATATAAATCATTCTACCATAAAGACACATGCATGCATATGTTCACTATCATGCAATTCACAATAGCAAAGACACAGAATCAACCTAGGTGCCCACTAGTGGTGGATTAGATAAATGAGGTACATATGTACCATTGAATACTACACAGCCACGAAAAAGAATGAAATCATATCCTTCACAGCAACACAGATGGAGCTGGAGACCGTAATCCTAAGATAATTATCACAATGTGATGGTTAATACTGAGTGTCAACTTGATTGGATTGAAGGATACAAAGTATTAATCCTAGGTGCATCTGTGAGGGTGTTGCCAAAGGAGATTAACATTTGAGTCAGTGGCCTGGGGAAGGCCGACTTGCCCTTAATCTGGTGGGCACAATCTAATCAGCTGCCAGCAAATATAAAGCAGGTAGAAAAACCTGAAAGGCGAAGGCAGAAAAACGTGAAAGGTGAGGCTGGCCTAGCCTTCCAGCCTACATCGTTCTCCCATGCTGGATGTTTCCTGCCCTCGAACATCGGACTCCAAGTTCTTCAGTTTTGAGACTCAGACTGGCTCTCTTTTCTCCTCAGGCTTGCAGACAGCCTACATGGGACCTTGTGATCGTGTAAGTTAGTACTTAATAAACTCCTTTATATATCTATCCTATTACTTCTCTTCCTCTGGAGAACCCTGACTAATACACATAGGAACAGAAAACCAAATACATATTCTCCATTACAAGTAGGAGCTAAACACAGAGCACACATGGACATGAACATGGGAACAACAGTTACTGCAGACTACAAGAGTGGGGAGGAGGTAAGGAATGACTGAAAAACTTCCTGTTGGGTATTATTCTCACTATCCGGTACATGTAACAAATTTGCACATGTACCTACTGTACCTAAAATAAAAGTTGAATTTTTAAAAATAAATTAGTTCCCTCTTGTTGCTATTATTTCTCAGAGGTTTTCTGAATGGCCTAATTTTTCCCATGTAAAAGCAATGTATCTTATTACAAATAAAACTCCATTAGTATTGTAATTGGAATTACATTTAATTTAACTCTTAAACGTAAGAAGCTTTCCATTTTGTCTTCTTTGATCATTTTAAATTTTTCTTCATGTAAATTTTGCACATATCTTGCTAAGGTTATTTCCTCATCTTTCTTGTTGCTAATGTATCTATCCATTTTGGTGAAAAATTCAATAATTACGTTCCACTGGGTTAATACAGTGTATGCTTTTCATTTGATAAACCTAGATAGATAGTATCTGAAAGGCTTGTCAGCCTAAATAGTCTGTGGCTTTTCTCTTTTCATAAATTTGAACAACATATCTCATATAAAATACCTCTGTTCTGTTAAATAGTAATATATTTAATCCATACATTAACTATCAATGTGAATTCTACATTTTCCCCCAACTGAGGTGTCAATAAATTATTTTAAAATCCTTTTATTCTTTGAATGAATGAAATGACTGCCTTGGTATATGAACGTAAAATGAGTCCCAAATTTTAAAAAATTGAGGCTGGCATGGCACAGTGGCTCACTCCTGTAATCCCAGCACTTTGGGAGCCTGAGGCAGGTGGATCACGAAATCAAGAGATCCAGATTATCTTGGCCAACATAGTGGAACCCCATCTCTACTAAAAATACAAAGCTGGTCATGGTGGCAGGTGCCTGTAGTCCCAGCTACTTGGGAGGCTGAGGTGGGATAATTGCTTGAACCCGGGAGGCAGAGGTTGCAGTGAGCCGAGATCGTACCACTGCACTCCAGCCTGGTGAAAGAGAGAGACTCCGTCTCAAAAATTAATTAATTAATTAATTAATTAAAATAAAAAATTGAGACCGGCAAAAGTAAGAAACTGTATGATCCTGGTACTTCAGTTTCAGCACATATGGAAACAGCATGCAGGGAAAGGAAAATAAGAGCTATAGTAGATCCTGTAACTACCTTCATAGGATGCTATATGAAAAAACTCCTTAATAATAGAATGGTGGTTTGAATAGAAGAGTGCTAGATTATCTTAACATAATCTTTCTCATTCATAAAAAAATCATGATTGTGGAAAATATACATCTTATATATTCCTTTTCACGATGGACATACTTAAAGGGACTAAGGAAATACTATAGCCCTCAAATAACTGTATAATTCAGTAATATAGAAATTAATGGGACCTGGAGCAGTGGCTCCTGACTGTAATCCCAGCACTTTGGGAGGCCGAGGAGGGCAGATTGCTTGAGCTCAGGAATTCGAGACCAGCCTGTGCAACAAGGTGAAAGCTCATCCTACAAGAAAAATACAAAAATTAGCTGGGCATGGTGGTACATGACTATATATAGATCCAGCTATAATACTTGGTGGGCTGAGGCAGCAGGATTCCTTGAGCCCAGGAAGTAGAGGCTGCAGTGAGAAGGCTACACTCCAGCCTGGGTACACTCCAGCCCGGGAGACCCTTTATCTCAAATAAATAAATAAATAAATGTACTTTTATTTTCGTGTTATAGCCCCAGAC
This sequence comes from Homo sapiens, assembly GCF_000001405.40. Taxonomy (NCBI): domain Eukaryota; kingdom Metazoa; phylum Chordata; class Mammalia; order Primates; family Hominidae; genus Homo; species Homo sapiens. Next base: position 84,104,569 of record NC_000004.12, read on the forward strand.
TTTTATTCGATGCCCTCTTCTCTATTTAGCTTGATTTCATTTTACATCTTTCCTTATTCTTAATATCTTTATGCAGCTACATTTCATGTTAAACAATTATTAACATAAAATGTTTATAGAGTACAATAGAATGCAAAGTACATATTTAGACAGAAGCTGCCCATAGACTATAAAGGGCAGACAGGAAACAAGAGAGGAATGGGTGAGTTTGTTTGAGACAGGTAGAAGAAAAATGCCAGAGTTTATCTGAGAAGGAAGGTAGAATCAAGGTGATTTGTAAAGTGTTACTTTGAAGCGCTTCACTGATGCCACTAAGATTGTGATTTGTTTTTTAGAGAAAGGACTGATGTAGGTAAGATCTCTAACCTTTTTTTTTTTCACTTGAATTATTGTATCTATCTGAGTTTTAAACCTAATGTAGGGTTTTGGTAAAGATTGATTAGATAATAGGCTAATTCTACAAGGTAATTAAGCTATTCCCTTGGGGACATAGGCAATTTGGGGAGACGTACTATTTCTTTCAAACCCTTATAGTGCCACTTAACCCAGCTGTTCAAACACAAAGCCATTTAAAGTGATTTCTACCACTCAGAAGGAAATTCTAGATATTACAGATAATCAGCATTAATAATATGTCCAGCATGACAGGGGATCTAGGTGGAAGAAGATGTGATAAAGGGTCAGGGCTGGGAGTGCACAAGCAGGGAGTAAGTTCTGTCATGGAACTGGGAAGTGGTTTTAAAGGAAGACTGCCTCATAAATAATGAGTCCTAAGTATCATTGCCCAGATAGACCCAAGACCACCATCTAAAGAGTACACTTAGGAAAAGAGGGAAAATGAGTGTTTGCTTGCTTACAAGGTGATTCGTTGACTCCTGCCACCAAAATTCTTGCTCATAGCTAATGGATTTTATATGGCTTTCCTAAAAGCATTGCTTTGCTTTTACTGTTGTTTTATCATCATGCTTTTCTACCTTCTGTGCTCTAAATAGGGTGTGGTATTCTGCAAGGTGTGACCGGGGATGCGGGCATCAGGTTGAGTTTGTTGGATAGGTATGTGACTGTTTCTATTTGTAGGTCCACAATTCTTCCATTTATACTGGAATTATCGGGCCTAGATGGTGTATTCAAGATCTCCAAATACAGTAAATGCAAGTGTAAGAATCATGCATGGATCTTTCCAGGCCATGCATTGGATGGAATTGAGTTCAGAGTATCCTTTGCATACAGAAGCAATTGTAGGAAGAGAACTATACAGTTCATAATGGTACCAGTTGATCAGGGTTCCAGAATCTGCTTCTAGTGGGTTATATCTAGTATCAGAACATAGACAAGGAGAGATAGACTTGACATCTCACATGAAGAGCCTGTTTGAAAAGCTGTGTAGCAGGTTTTTACATCATTAAACCTGGCCTGAAGGTGCTGAGGTTCACCAAGTTCTGCTTAGTCAGTGTTTCCCAAACTACATAGACATGAGAATTAGCTGGGAGATTTATTAAAAGTGCATGGCTCTGAGCCCCAATCCTGGAGATTATGATTCAGTAGATGTGTAATAAGGTCCTAGAATCTGGATTTTTAAGAAAATATAGATATATAGGATTCGATACAGATGAACTATAAAAACCTCATGCTGGGTAGTCACTGACGAAAGTCACTCAGGTGGTAGACATGAGTGGAGGAAGATACCAAGTTTGAAAAGTGGACATTTTTATCAGCCTGGATGTTCTGGATTGTGGATAAGGCTGAACTTCTGCTGAATTAATTGGTGGGAGAGAAGGCAGGCTAGTTGACCTGCTGCTGTAAGGCGTAGAGCCTTAAGTTCTGTTCCATCTAGCTTCCCATGTTGGTATTTTATCTGCACATGAGATTGGTGATGGTGTGCCAAGGACCGGAGGACAAGGACACATTACTTGCTGGAGTATCATGGAGAATCCTCCAGAAATGGGAGACGAACTGAAGATTTGTACAGCATGAGGAGATATATCATCTGACTTTTTCTGGAAAGTAAAGGATCCCTTGGAATTGGGACTTGGTCTCAGTTCCTTCCACGATCCCTTGACCACAGTAGGATGTTATTCTCAAAGGATCAGAGTTTGGCTAATGAAGCTACTGCAGGTCTGAAATTTACTAACTGTAAATTAGGTAAAATTCATTTGTCTTTTTGAGCCTCAGTATCCTCATCTGTAAATGAGTGTAACAACCACACTTTTTTATTTTTATTTTTTTTGAGATGGAGTCTTGCACTGTCGCCTGGGCTGGAGTGCAGTGGGGCGATCTCGGCTCACTGCAAGCTCCGCCTCCTAGGTTCATGCCATTCTCCTGCCTCAGCCTCCCGAGTAGCTGGGACTACAGGCACCTACCACCATGCCTATCTAATATTTTTTGTATTTTTAGTAGAGATGGGGTTTCACCGTGTTAGCCAGGATGAACAACCACACTTTGGATTGTTGTAAGGAAAGGCAGAATAGGAATAAATCACTTTGAATGGTTTCTGCATATGCAAAAGATCTATTTTGGTTTCATGAACATTATGGAATAGTGAAAAGAATGTGTATTGTATAGTTAGACAGACGTGGATTTGAGTCCTGTCTCTATAACTTCCTAACTATATGACCTTGAATAGTTTACTTCCTTTCTCTACAGATAAATTACTCACTTAAAATAGAACCATAATGCCTGTCTTGCAAGATAGTTGTGAATATTAGCAACAATACAGGACAAATACCTGGCATTCTATAGAAATTGATCCATAAATATTACTGCTTCTCTCCCTCTTTTCTTTCTCCTCCTTCTTCTCCTTCTCTTCCTGCAACTCCTTCTTCTACTTCTTATAACTTGAGGTCCTGAGTTCATAAAACCTATGGAGAGTGAGCTGGTCTCCCACTCTGATTTCAACTATCATTTTCAGAAAATTGCATAGGAATGCTAAAGCTGAAAAAAAAAATGTGGATTCATAAGTCAACATGACCAGGGTGGCCCTGAATTGCTTCCCTAACCAGGACCCAAAATTATTTATAGTGGCTTCTATGAAATGACCTGCTGGCCTGATTTAATAGTTAGGCCTCCTGCCAATCATTTCACAAAGTTGGCCCAAGGGGAGCTGTATCAGCTCACTATAAGGTGATGATTTTACAGCATAAGAGCTATGTGAATTGATATCAAAGTTACCTATTTGAGGTACTGTATCCTTCTTAGGTGTGTAAATACAAAATGCTATCCCCTTTAATTCTTCCAGTTCATTCATTCCATACTAAACAGAATCAAAAAGCGTCAGCTCCTGGACCAGGAAGGAGGTGTTAGAGTGCTGGAGAATGGAATCACACCCTTTATACAGCTAGAAAACATTTGTCATCTTCCTAAAAAACACGCCTTTAGGACCTCTCAGCCTCACAGAAAACTTCCGTTTCATGAGTAAGGAACTCTGGTTATGTACCTGTTATGCTGGTCAGTCATTTGTCTCCAATTTGGAAGGTGACTGTGAAGTCAACCCACCTTCACATTATAGATCACAAGACTCAGGAGCCTGCATGTAGGCAATGATCAACATGTAAAAAACCCATAATTCTCCAAAATTGTCATAAATTTTTACGAGACGCTCCAACCAGGAAGAAATGAATGTGTTATGTACCCACAGACTTTATAGCCTGTCCAAAAAGAGTTGTTTCTATCAGTAGGGCAAAGCCTTTCACTGCATTACCTAAACATAGAAAGGCTCCAGCAGAACAGTGTCAGCTGTTGGTGTCAGAACAGTGTTGTTGTACTACAGAGTGTGAGCAGGTCTGGAAAGCAGAATTGCTGAGAATTGGTGCCACCCAGGTATACATGCACAAGTGGATGGGTAGTGGTCTGCCATCCAAGGGAGAGCAATAGGAATTGTTAGCCACACTCAGTAAAGGAAACCCACAATTAAATACTAGAACTGAGCCAGTAGGGGCCAAAAGTTAAACTGATGGGTATTGTTAGGAGCTAGAAGTAAATTGCTGGATAACTCCAGTGGATTCTACAGAACAGCATTCCCCTTGCTTGGAGCTCTTCTTATTGAGCCACTTTCATGAGTTGTTCTGCCTGGACTGTGAAAATGAACATATTGTAATCATGAACAAATCACCATTCAAAGTCAAATCCAACACATCTGCCTTGAGTATTTTCTACATGTCAAGCCCTGAGCCAGACACTGAAGAATACCAGTCAAGTACAGCTATATACTGTACTCTGTGATAGCTCACAGTCAATTGAGGAATATGGTTATTTAGCAACTACTTTTAACAGGCCACTGATTCAGCAGCAGAGGGCATAAATATAAATAGGACTCCTTCCCTCCTTCAGACTTAGTGGAACCAAGTTAGATTGGCAAGTTAGGTGAAGAAGCCAGACTGCAGAAAACTGTATATAAAAGAGGGGAAAACAACTACACTTCAAATCCACTCTTGCCTTCTTAAAAAAGGGTCTGGTTAGAGAAAAATCTGAGAGTAACTGCCTGTGCTTTGTGCTTCTAAGGGAGTAGAGAGCCCTCTTGCTTGGCTGAGCACCTTGAGGTACTCCTGATATGAAAAGGGGGTGGAAAATCTGGAAAGAGCTGAAAGTGTCTTCATAATAACATGATAAGAATATAGAATTCTATGTACAATTAGGAGGTACGATATGAGAAGAGGTGGGAAAAGGAAGAGACAGGAAGGCAGGATGCCTTTCAGGGCAGCTAAAAGGTATTTTCGGGACAGAATGTCTAATATTTTATTTTATTTGTATTTGTATACATTTCTATCTATAGAGAAAAGAAAGTGAGCTTATGAAACCACATAAAAGTTCTGTTCCAAGTTTGGGGTGATGCTCGGTGGAACACAGAATGCATATGTGGAATTTATAAACTAATTCAGCAGAAGCAGAATATCAGAGCCAGAAGGGACCATGAGAACAAAAGCCTTCTCATTCTCCCTTTCTTCTTCCTTCATGCCCTGAATGTGAAGACACTGGTAAGCTTTCTAAAAGATGTGAAAGAAGTTATGAACCAATTTAATCAAGATTTTAAGGTACAGAGTGACCCCAGATGACATTTGAATTATATTTAAATTATAAACTGAGAAGCGTGGACTTTCTATTCTAACCAGTCAAACCACTAAAAAACTGTGAATTTGAGGAGTAGTTTATTTGAACACTGATAATAATTTTACAGTTATAGCTAAAACATTTTAGGAAGAAGTTTGTTCTTAAGAAATAGACAATTTTTAATTCCTTTTAAATTGAGTCAGAGTTTGGGATATATACAGTGAATATACAATTTTTAAAAAAATGACAGGACAGATTAAGGAAAACATTCTTTCATGAGTTTTGTTTTTTTAAGAATATTTTGTACAGATATCTGATTTATTTATAATCAGGTTTATAGATTTATTTTTTCTTTCTACTTATGGTAATCTTGTGTGAGTATACATATGTATGTGTTTTAATATATGACCAGTAGCAGAATTTTGAGCAAGAAAAATTTTACTTAATTTTTGTGGCCAAATGCAAAACATCTGACAATTTTGCCAAGAAAACCCAAATTGCCTTGTTCTGTTTGCATAAGCAAAAGAAAAAGTCCAGGATATCCATCTGCAAATCAACATCAAAGGCTTTCCACAAAATACGGGGAGGGTGACTTGTATTTGGAGAACAGCATGAGATCTTTCTGTTGCTAGGGCACTGCTGGCTGCAGCTTTCTACACTAATCATGGTCAAGGGCAACTGAGGTTTATGTGTCTATATTGCTGAGGTAGCTTGTCTTTTCAAGCTGAAACTCACAGCTCTCTGCCTTTTGCCCACTCCTCCACCCTTTGACATCTGTTAATGATGGAGATTCACAGCACATTTTCTATGAAATGAAACCATTCTAAAAACTTTTATAAAGTCAAAGGTTTTGGAAAAAAGGAGAAAAAGTCATTGAGTAAACACATCTTTTTTGAGACCTGATCCTAATAAGCCTCATATGAGTTATTCCGTGCATATAAAATTTACTCCACAGAATTATGGTCTTGATACCTGACCAGAAAGCCTCTATTTCTTTCTCATTATTAACTGGATCAGGTTTTCTTCTTTTCTTATAATGTGATGTTCACAACCATGCATTTTAGAAGTAAGGGTATAATTTGGATGACTCCAAACTTCTAAGATTCTACAATTGTGTATTCTAAATAAGGAATATGTCTTTGTGAGTGTTGATGGTCCTAAATTATCTGTTAGTATAAAAGATAATTTACTATATAAGCTATCAAATTGCCCCAACTCCCTCCTTCCCTTCTCTCCCCTTCCCTTCCCTTTTCCTCCCTTCCTTCCTTCCCTTCCTCCTTTTTCCTCCCTTGTTTCTTCTTCCTCCTTCCTTTCTCCTTTTTTCTCTTTATTCCCTCTTTCTACCCCTTTCTTCTTTTCTTGTCCTCTCTCTTTCCCTCCCACTACCTCTTTTCCATTCTTTCTACAACACTTTAAAGTTTGTATTAAAGTAAAACATAATGCAGAAAATTGCACAAACATAATGCAGAAAATCATAAGTGTACAACTTGGTAATTTTTTACAAAGTGAACAGCCTTGTGTAACCAGCATTCAAATGGAACTATAACAATATCAGAAACCTTCTTTGCATCCTCTCCAAATTATTAGGCACGCTTCACCCAAAAACTCATCACTATTCTAACCTGTAGAACACAGATAATTAGGTTAGCCTGTTTTTGAACTTTATACAAATGGATTCATATAGTGTGTACTCCATTGTGACTGGCTTATTTTACTTAACATTGTGTGGAATTTATTCATGCTGTTGCTTATAGTAGTAGTCCACTCTTTTTCACTGATGTATAATTAGAAAAAAAGAAAAGATTGAGAAAAACATTTCTTCATGCAATTGGGCTATTAATAAGAGTTTATAAATAAGAATATACCACAATTTTTTATCTATTTAACATTATTGATAGACATTTGTTCTCAGTTTTGGTTTTGGTTTTTAAAAAAGGACTGCTAAAAACATTCTTGTATGTACTTTTGGTTTCTATTAAATATATTCCTAAAAGTAGAGCTGCTGCAACATAGAGTACGATTATGCTAAACTTTTGTAGGTTCTTCCAGAGTTGCCCCAAATGGTTATACTAACAATTCTAGTTACTCTATGACTTTGCCAGCCATTAGTATTATCAGATTATATTTTGTTTTATTTTAAAGCAGTGCTATTGATGAATATGCCATGACATCTTAGTGTGGTTTTCATTTGTGCTTTCCTATTAACTAATAAGAATGAGTGCCTATTCGTTTGTTTATAGGTCATTTGAATATCTTATTTTGTGAAGTATCTATTTAAGACTTTTGCCTTTTTTTTTTTTTTTTTTTTTTTTGAGATGGAGTTTTGCTCTTGTTGCCCAGGCTAGAGTGCAATGGTGCAATCTTGGCTCACTGCAACCTCCGCCTTCCAGTTTCAAGCCATTCTCCTGCCTCAGCCTCCCAAGTAGCTGTGATTACAGGCACCTGCCACCATGCCCAGCTAATTTTTTGTATTTTTAGTAGAGATGGGGTTTCACCATGTTGGTCAGGCTGGTCTCGAACTGCTGACCTCGTGATCCTCCCGCCTCGGCCTCCCAAAGTGCTGGGATTACAGGCATGAGCCACCGTGCCCTGCAGACTCTTGCCTATTTTTAATTGATTTGTCCGTCAGTTCTTGTTGATTTTTTGGAATTCTTAGTATATATTATATATGAATTATTTGTCAGAAATACATTTTGCAAATATCTTCTCCCAATGTATGCTTTGCTTTTTCATTCTACATTCTTAAAAAGCCCATCATGTCAGTCTTTTGTCTTTATAATTAATTTGTTTTGTCCTGTTTAGGAAATCATTGCTCACCTAGAGCTCATGAAGATATTATCATTTGTTAACTTCTACAAATCTTATTGTTTCACATTTCACATTTAGGTCTTCAATCCAATTTGAAATTGAATTTTGGATACGGGTCTCTCCAGATTCATTTATTGACACGGGGAGATCCAATTGACGCAGAACTACTTATTGAAAAGACCATCTTTACCCACTCTTGTGTAGTAGACCTTATCGCATATCAAGTTTCCATAATTGTGTGAATCTCTTCTGTATCACATTACATGTTCATTGGTGTATTTGTCTATCTTTGCACCAGTACTACACTGTCTCAATCACTGTAGTGTTAAAATAATTCTCGATGTCTGGGCACAGTGGCTCATGCCTGTAATGCCAGCACTTTGGGAGGCCAAGGTGGGAGGATCCCTTGAGGTCAGGAGTTCAAGACCAGCCTGTGCAACATAGTGAGAGCTTGTCTCTACAAAAATAAAAATATCCAGGTGTGGTGGCACACCCCTGTAGTACTAGCTACTCAGGAGGCTGAGGCAGGAGGATCCTTTGAGCCCAGGAGTTCTTGGCTTCAGGGAGCTATGATTGCACCACTGCACTCCAGCCTGGGTGACAGAGTGAGACCCTGTCACAAAAGACAAGAAAATTATTGATAATTCACAGTATAAGTCCCCCAAATTGAACTTTTCCTCAAATGTTGTTTTGACTTTTTATGACTCCTTGCATTTCCCTAAAAATTGGGACATGGATGAAGCTGAAAGCTATCGTCCTCAGCAAACTAACATAGGAACAGAAAACCAAACACTGCATGTTCTCACTCATAAGTGGGAGCTGAACATTGAGAACACATGGACACAGGGAGGGGAATAACACACACTATGGCCTGTTGTGGGGTGGGGGTTGAGGGAAGGGAACTTAGAGAATGGGTTAATAGGTGCAGCAAACCACCATAACACATGTATACCTATGTAAAAAATCTGTATATTCTACACATGTATCACATTTGTTTTTTAGAAGAAATTTTTTAAAAAAATTGAAATCACCTTGTCAATGCACCACCCCTCATGTAAATTTTCTGAAATTCCAATTGAGATTAAGTTGGATCCACAGATTGGTTTGGGCCAATTGTACTACATTATTTTGATTCATGATGTGATATAACCTTCCATATATATTGATTTATTTAATTACTCCAGTAGTATTTTCTACTACTGAAGTAATTTGTAGATCTTTATGTAGTAATCTTGCATTAAGTTTATTCCTATGTATTTGATATCTTTTGATACTCTTGTAAATGTAATCATTTTATTTCATTTTTCTATTTTTTTCTAATTATTTGTCTTTATTTCATCTTCAGATTTGAAGATAAATTTTTACTAGATATAAAATTCTGGGTTGACTGGTATTACATTCTGTGAACATTTTAATGGTAACATTCCACTATCTTCTGGGGCCAGGCACGGTGGCTCATGCCTGTAATCCCAGCACTTTGGGAGGCCAAGGCAGGTGGATCACCTGAGGTTAGGAGTTTGAGACCAGCCTGGCCAACATGGTGAAACACTGTCTCTACTAAAAAAAAATACAAAAATTAGCCAGGCATAGTGGTGGGCTCCTGTAATCCCAGCTACTCAGCAGGATGAGGTGGGAGAATCGCTTGAACCCAGCAGGCAGAGGTTGCAGTGAGCCGAGATTGCACCATTGCACTCCAGCCTGGGAAACAGGAGTAAAAACTCAGTCTCAGGAAAAAAAAAAAAAGACATTCCACTATCTTCTGTCTGCCATTTTTCTGATAATAACTTAGGCATCATTCTTACCATTATTCCCCTTTGTATAATATAGAGGGTTTCTTTTCCCCCTTTCTGGTGGCTTTTAAGATTTTTACTAAACCTTTGGTTTTTAGTGTTGTATTATGACTAACCTACATATTGTTTTCTCTGTATTTATTCTACTTTTAGGCCACTAAGCTTTCTATGTCTGAAAACTAACATTTTCTCATTTAATTTGAGAAATTTAGGGCAATAATTTCTTCAAATATTTTCTCTGTTCCAAACTCTGTCTCCTCTCATTCAGGGACTCCAATTATATATATGTTAGGCCACTTGATATTGTCACACAGTATATTAATGCTACATTTATTTTTTTCACTCTTTTATTATGTTTTTTAGTTTGGGAATTTCTATTTGTTTGTCTTTAATTTTATTGAATCTTTCTTTTGCTGTGCCTAATCTGTTAAGCTTACCCAGTAGATTTTCTCATTCAGAATTGTACTCTTTAGCTCTTGGATTTTGATTTTTTGAATAGTTTCTACTTCTCTGCTGAGAATTCTTATCTCAACTCATTATATTCATCTTTTTCTTTAACTCCTTGCACATATTTATAACTACTTTTTAAAAGTCCTTGTCTGCTAATTTCAACATTTAAATCATCATATGGTCTATTTATGATGTAGCTTACATTTTCCCATTCCTTCACAAGTTTGTAAGTTTTGATTGAATATAGGATATTGAAAGTGTTAAGTTGAGGGGGGCTGGACTTGTTTAAAGGATATTGAGATGTGCTGTACTAGGCAGTTAAATTACTAGTGGATTCTGTTGATCATATGAGGCTTGGTTTTATGATTTTTAGGGTGGCGCTCTATTTCATTTGAGTCATTAATCCTAAGATCTGTTATTTTAGTGTGTGCTCCTTGTTTAAAGTGTGGCCTTTCTGGGGTTTCAACTAAATGCTTGAGGTGTTCACCAAGGCCTTTTTCCTCAGCTTTGGCTGAAGCTTAACATTTTCCAGCTCTGCACAACATCCAGAATCTCTTTTCCTTTTTCTTTCTTGTAAAGAAAAGAAAGAAAAAAGAATCTCTTGTATTCTTTTTCAATACAAAGAAAGGAAAAGAATCTCTTTTTCTTTTTCTTTCTTCTAAGACTTAGGGAGTCTCTCCCTGTTCATGTACAACTCAGCACTTGGCCAATGACTTGAGTGGAGCTATTGCATTGACTTCTAGAGCCTCCAACAAAAATATCCTCTTTATAACAACATATCCCACAAATTCCACTCACTCAGAAACTCTGGATTCTAATGGGTGTCTACTTCTAACAAAAAGAAATTGATGTTAAAAATGTAATCTTTACAGAGACAGACTATAGAAAGTAAAAAATCTCTGGCCAGAGCTTCCAATACTATGTTGAATAGGAGTGATGAGAGAGGGCATCCTTGTCTTGTGCTGGTTTTCAAAGGGAATGCTTCAAGTTTTGTCCATTCAGTATGATATTGGCTGTGAGTTTGGCATAAATAGCATTTTTTACTTTGAGATATGTTTCATCAGTACCTAGTTTATTGAGAGTTTTTAGCATGAAGGGGTGTTGAATTTTATCAAAGGCCTTTTCTGCATCTATTGAGATAATTATGTGGTTCTTGTCATTGGTTCTGTTTATGTGATGGATTACATTTATTGATTTGCATATGTTGAACCAGCCTTGCATCCCAGTTTTATCTTGGTGGATAAGCTTTTTGATGTGCTGCTGGAATTGGTTTGCCAGTATTTTATTGAGGATTTTTGCATCAATGTTCACCAGGGATATTAGCCTGAAATTTTCTTTTTTTGTTGTGTCTCTGCCTGGTTTTGGTATCAGAATGATGTTGGCCTCATAAAATGAGTTAGGGAGGAGTCCTCTTTTTCTATTGTTTGGAATTTTTTCAGAAGGAATGGTACCAGCTACTCTTTGTACCTCTGGTAGAATTTGGCTGTGAATCTGTCTGGTCCTGGGCTTTTTTTGGTTGATAGGCTATTAATTACTGCTTCAATTTCAGAACTTGTTATTGATCTAGTCAGGGATTTGACTTCTTCCTGATTTAGTCTTGGGAGGCTGTATGTGTCCAGGAATTTATCCATTTCTTCTAGATTTTTCTAGTTTATTTGCATAGAGATATTTATAATATTCTCTGATGGTAGTTTCTATTTCTGTGGGATCAGTGGTGATAGCCCCTTTATCATTTTTTAACGTGTCTATTTAATTCTTCTCTCTTTTCTTCTTTATAGTCTGGCTAGCAGTCTATCTATTTTGTTAATCTTTTCAAAAAACCAGCTCCTGGATTCATTGATTTTTTGAAGGGTTTTCGTGTCTCTATCACCTTCAGTTCTGCTCTGATCTTAGTTATTTCTTGTCTTCTGCTAGCTTTTGAATTTGTTTACTCTTGCTTCTCTAGTTCTTTTAATTGTGATCTTAGGGTGTCAATCTTAGATCTTTCCCACTTTCTCCTGTGGGCATTTAGTGCTATAAATTTCCCTCTAAACACTGCTTTAGCTGTGTCCCAGAGATTCTGGTATGTTGTGTCTTTGTTCTTATTGGTTTCAAAGAACTTATTTATTTCTGCCTTAATTTCGTTACCTACCCAGTAGTCATTCAGGAGCAAGTTGTTCAGTTTCCATGTTGTTGTGCGGTTTTGAGTGAGTTTCTTTTTTTTTCTTTCTTTCTTTTTTTTTTTTTTTGGAGACAGAGTCTCACTCCGTTGCTGAGGCTGGAGTGCAGTGGTGCAATCCCGGCTCACAGCAACCTCCACTTCCAGGGTTCAAGTGATTTTCCTGCCTCAGCCTCCTGAGTAGCTGGGATTACAGGCATGCACCGCAACGCCCAGCTAATTTGCTAATTTTGTATATTTAGTAGAGATGGGGTTTCACTAGGTTAGCCAGGCTGATCTTGAACTCCCAACCTCAGGTGATTCACCTACCTTGGTCTCCCAAAGTGTTGGGATTACAGGTGTGAGCCACACAAGGCTGGATTACATCCCGGCCTTGAGTGAGTTTCCTGAGTTCTAATTTTATTGCACTGTGGTCTGAGAGTCTGTTTGTTATGATTTCCATTCTTTTGCATTTGCTGAGGAGTGTTTTACTTCCAATTATGTGGTCAGTTTTAGAAAAAGTGTGATATGTTGAGAAGAATGTATGTTCTGTTGATTTGTGGTGGAGAGTTCTGTAAATGTCTATTAGGTCTGCTTGGTCCAGAGCTGAGTTCAAGTCCTGAATATCCTTGTTAATTTTCTGTCTCTTTGATCCCTCTAATATTGGACAGTGGGATGTTAAAGTCTCCCACTATTATTGTGTGGGAGTCTAAGTCTCTTTGTAGGTCTCTGAGAGCTTGCTTTATGAATCTGGGTGCTCCTGTATTGGGTGCATGTATCTTTAGGATAGTTAGCTCTTCATGTTTCATTGATCCCTTTACCATTATTTAATGCCCTTCTTTGTCTTTTTTGATCTTTGTTGGTTTAAAGTCTGTTTTATCAGAGACTAAGATTGCAACCCCTGCTTTCTTTTTTTCTTTCCATTTGCTTGGCAAATATTCCTCCATCCCTTTATTTTGAGCCTATGTGTGTCTTTGCACATGAGATCGGTCTCCTGAATACGGCACACCGATGGGTCTTGACTCTATCCAATTTGCCAGTCTGTGTCTTTTAATTGGGGCATTTAGCCCGTTTACATTTAAGGTTAATATTGTTATGTGTGAATTTGATCCTGCCATTATAATGGTAGCTGGTTATTTTGCACCGTTAGTTGTAGTCTCTTCATAGTGTTGAAGGTCTTTACAATTTGGCATGTTTTTGCAGTGACTGCTATCATTTGTTTGGTTCCCCCCCACCCCCCATATTTAGTGCTTCCTTCAGGGGTTCTTGTAGGCAGGCCTGGTGGTGAAAAAAATCTCTCAGCATTTGCTTGTCTATAAAGGATTTTATTTTTCCATTGCTTATGAAGCTTAGTTTGGCTGGATATGAAATTCTTCTGGGTTGAAAATTCTTTTCTTTAAGAATGTTTAATATTGGCCCCCACCCTCTTCTGGCTTGTAGGGTTTCTGCAGAGATATCTACTATTAGTCTGATGGGCTTCCCTTTGTGGGTAACCCGACCTTTCTCTCTGGCTGCCCTTAACATTTTTTCCTTCATTTCAACCTTGTTGAATCTGATGATCATGTGTCTTGGGGTTGCTCATCTCAAGGAGTATCTTTATGGTGATCTCTGTATTTCCTCAATTTGAATGTTGGCCTGTCTTGCTAGGTTGGGAAAGTTAGGCAAGAGAAAGAAATAAAGGGTATTCAAATAGGAAGAAAGGAAGTCACATTGTCTCTGTTTGCAGATGACATGAGTGTATATTTAGAAAATCCCATCATCTCAGCCCCAAATCTCCTTAAGCTGATAAGCAACTTCAGCGAAGTCTCAGGATACAAAATCAGTGTGCAAAAATCACCAGCTTTCCAATACACCAATAATAGACAAACAGAGAGCCAAATCGTAAGTGAACTTACATTCACAATTACTACAAAGAGAATAAAACACCTAGGAATCCAACTTACAAGGGATATGAAGGACCTCTTCAAGGAGCACTATGAACTACTGCTCAAGAAAATAAGAGAGGACACAAACAAATGGAAAAACATTCCATGCTCATGGATAGGAAGAATCAATATTGTGAAAATGGCCATACTGCCCAAAGTAATTTATAGATTCAATGCCATCCCCATCAAGCCACCAATGACTTTCCTCACAGAATTAGAAAAAACTACTTTAAATTTCACATGCAAGCAAAAAGAGCCAATATAGCCTAGGCAATCCTAAGAAGTAAGAACAAAGCTGGAGGCATCATGCTACCTGACTTCAAACTATACTACGAGGCTACAGTAACCAAAACATAATGGTACTGGTACCAAAACAGAGATATGGACAAATGGAACAGAACAGAGGCCTCAGAAATAACACCACACATCTACAACCATCTGATCTTCAACAAACCTGACAAAAACAAGCAATGGGGAAAGGATTCTCTATTTAATAAATGTTGTTGGGAAAACTGGCTAGCCATATGCAGAAAAGTGAAACTAGACCCCTTCCTTACACCTTATAAAAAAATTGAATCAAGATGGATTAAATACTTAAACATAAGACCTAAAACCATAAAAACCCTAGAAGAAAACCTAGGCAATACCATTCAAGACATAGGCATGGGCAAAGACTTCATGACTAAAACACCAAAAGCAATGGCAACAAAAGCCAAAATTGATAAATGAGATCTAATTAAACTAAAGAGCTTCTGCACAGCAAAAGAAACTATCCTCAGAGTGAACAGGCAACCTACAGAATGGGAGAAAATTTTGCAATCTATCCATCTGACAAAGGGCTAATATCCAGAATCTACAGGGAACTTAAACAAATTTACCACAAAAAAAACCCCATCAAAAAGTGGGCAAAGGATATGAACAGACACTTCTCAAAAGAAGACATTAATGCGGCCAACAAACATATGAAAAAAACCTCATCATCACTGGTCATTAGAGAGATGCAAATCAAAACCACAGTGAGATACCATCTCATGCCAGTTAGAATGGCAGTCATTAAAAAGTCAGGAAATAACAGATGCTGGAGAGGGTATGGGGAAATAGGAATGCTTTTACACTGTTGGTGGGAGTGTAAATTAGTTCAACCATTGTGGAAGACAGTGTGGCGATTCCTCAAGGATCTAGAACCAGAAATACCATTTGACCCAGCAATCCCATTACTGGGTATATACCCAAAGGATTATACATCATTCTACTATAAAGGTACATGTACATGTATGTTTATTGCAGCACTGTTCACAATAACAAAGATGTGGAACCAACCCAAATGCCCATCAATTATAGACTGGATAAAGAAAATGTGGCACATATACACCATGGAATACTATGCAGCCATAAAAAAGGATGAGTTCATGTCCTTTGCAGGGACATGGATGAAGCTGGAAACCATCATTCTCAGCAAAGTAACACAGGAACAGAAAACCAAGCACTGCATGTTCTCAGTCATAAGTGGGAGTTGAACAATGAGAACACACAGACACAGGGAGGGGAACATCACACACTGGGACCTGTCGAGGGGTGTGGGGCTAGGGGAGGGATAACATTAGGAGAAATACCTAATATAGATGATGGGTTGATGGGTGCAGCAAACCACCATGTCACATGTATACCTGTGTAACAAACCTGTATGTTCTGCACATGTATCCCAGAACTTAGAGTATAATAAAAAAAAGTAAAAATCTCTTATTATTCTTCCTCAAGTTTTGTTCTTTGCATATTGTTTTTATTTGAAAAGTATCCTGTTTTGTAATGTAATTTTTTTGCTCGAGATATATCATAACAAGGATTTTAGCTAGGTACAGAATGCTTTTTTCATATTATACTCACACTTTTCTTAGTCACTAAAGAAACATACACAGTTTCTTTAAAAGAATGAATGGATTAATTTTTTTATTGAAAATTCTCAATTCTGCTAGGTACTGTGGCTCACGCCTATAATCCTAGTCCTTTGGGGGACCAGGGTGGGCTGACTTCTTGAGCCCAGGAGTTTGAGACCAGCCTGGGCAACATAGCAAAACCCTGTCTCTGCAAAAAATACAAAAATTAGCTGGGTGTGGTGGTGCACACCTGTAGTCCCAGCTACTCAGGAGGCAAAGTTGGAAGGATCACTTGAGCCCAGGAAGTCAAGGATGCAATGAACCATAATCACACCACTGCACCCAGCCTGGGTGACAGAATGAGACTTTGTCTCAAAAAAAAAAAAAAAGAGAAAATTCTCAATGCTAAAAAGGTGAGGAAAGGTGTGTCAGGGAGACCACAAGGTAGAAGGATATAAAGTGATGCTGCAGAAGATTTTCTGCCTCTGAAGAGAGAAATGAAGGGTTAGAAAGAAGAGGAAGAAAACTAAGAGAGAACATGGTGGCTTGTATACTTTACCTTCTTGAATAGGATGATTTTTTAATTTAATGATAAATTTAAAAATCACAGAACATTGTAATACAAGGTTGCTTGTTTAAAAAGGTATGATTATATGATTACTTTTTTGAGACGGATTATATTAAGTTATACTACACATTATAGCAGGACACTGGCCCTTAATCCTGTGAGTAGAAGCATGCTAACCTGCCTACAGGCATTTTAAGCCTTGTGATTTTACTGTTAAAATGTTATTAGAACTCTATTATTGAGAATATTAAAATTTATCACAGCCACTTACAAGATAGTATCACATGAAAAGATTCCCTAATCAATATCCAATAATCAGAATTATGTGTTTAGTCATATAGGACTAATAAGGCCTTTTCCCTTTTACTAGCTCTGTGTGGGTGTGGGTATGGGCATTTATGTAGTGTGTATATGTGCACATTTTCAGGAGAATATCCAGGAGCATGTCATATGGAATTTCAGGTGTAGAAGGGACGTTAGAAATAAACTAGCAAAATCCCTTAGTCTTATAGCTGGGGAAATTGAGGTTTGAAGACATTTGAGTTAAGTCGATCAAGGTCACATGGCTACCTGGAGCAGAACTCAGGACCCCTCTAAATTATTACTTCTCTTGTAAGCTGAATATTTTTAAAAGAAGGAAAAAATCTGAAAAAAAAGATAGTCAAGAATGGTATTTATTTGTTCCTATAATTAGCTTATAGCAAACAATTATGAATGTCCAATAGCATTTGGCAACAATCTAACAATGACCAAAGTTAGTTGAAACCTTTTGGTTAATCAGATCATTTAGGGTTAGAAGTCCTGCTTTAAGGCTCCAGAGTTAAACTCAAGCTTCAAAGGTCCTGTGTCATTTCTTCTTAAGAAATAAATGAAAAGGAAGAATGGAAAGCAGGCAGAGGGTTGAATTTAGCATCTGAGGACCAAAATCCAGAAGCAGTTCCACTTGCTTCTTACTTTCTCGGTCTCTAATGCTGGGTATTTTGTTTCTCTGATCCTTTTCCTCAGGTTGGGATATAAAGTTACAGATATATACATATATATATATATATAAATGCTTATAGAAATATGAGATTGAAAGCACAATTGTACTGTTGGCTCTTTAATGCAAATACCTTAGGTATAGCTTAAAGATTTCCTTTTCTAGAATGGCTGTTCTGCCAATATGTTATTCATCTTTCTTTCTGCCCCCAAATCTCACTGGATAAGTGATTTCAGAAGAATGTGAAAGGCGAGGAGAGGCAGGAGAAATAGTGCCCACTGGGGGTCATTTCTGGTTACCTATATCTGTATGACAAGTCATTCAAAAATTTAGTAGTGTCAGACAGCAACAATTATATTATCTTTCATGGTTTATGGGCTGTCTGGACTCACTCAGTCTTCTGGTCTAATTTCAGTCCACTCAGATTCTGACATGGTTGCAGATATGTTGTGACTGAGGCAAAAGTTATCTCTACCTAGGTTCAGTTGGGACACTGGGACAGCTGGGATTATCTCTTATTCCACGTTACCTCAGGGCCTCTCCTCCTGCGGCTTCTCAATCAAGAAAGTTGGACTTCGTACATGCCAAATCTGGGCTTCCAAAAGCAAATGTTCGTGAGTTACTTGCCTTTTCAGGTTAAGTAATCTTCCTAGTATTCACAGAATCTATGCAATGCTGTGAATATCTGGAAGAATGGCTCATTAGAGAATATGTTTGGATATTAACTGTCACAAAAGACATATCAGAATCCCTGGGGAAGTGTATGTGTTACTTGATAAAAATGATTTTAAATATTGTGATGAAATATATGAGAAAAGAGTAAAGAAAGCTATTGCTTTTATAACTAAAATACAATAAAACATAAAACATTATGAAACATTTTTGTCTGGTGGGGATATACAAATTATAGCTCATGATCTTCAGCTGAGGGGAATGATCATCTAATTAGTCATATCATAATCTTGGGGAAGGGTGGCATGAGTTTTGTTTCATTTTGGGGGTGGGGGCAGTGCATCAGAAAAAAAATGATGATATATTTCATTCTTAGCACTTAAGATTTCAAAACAAAATTTTGATGTGCTGACTTTCTCAGCTTGAAATTGAGGTTTGAATTCTATTGACTTTCTACTAAAGCAAGGTCTTTTACCACGTATTTTCGTTAGATTAGAAAAACAGAAAGAACTCAGGACTAATGCATATTGGCTTTCAGAAGTTCTTTCTCCAACACTTCCCCTTTCATCCTACAAACATGTTCAAAGTAGAAATTTTGTCCACAAAAGAACACACAACTTTTTAAGTCAAATTTGACCCTACTTTTTCTTTATGACCATCCAACTTATTCCCTGGATACAGAATTAAAAACAGTGAAACTCCCATTAGTTTTTACATTCATTAGTGATAACATCTAAGATTTCAGATTTTCCTTTAACTGGGAAATTTTCAGACTGCTCCACAGAAAAAGTATACAAGGTCAATGAGCTCCTCATTAAAGAAGCTGAGCCTTGGGAAGGTGTGCAGAGGCATTCTTCCAAAGATGATATTGTCACTACCTCACATGGAGTTCCACTTTTATAAATAAAAAAAGCCTAACTTGAGTAAGTCAGGTCATTTTAAAACCCATCTCCCAATTCAACAGGCCACATCATATGAAGACATATGTATGGTGCACAAATGTACTGAAATGTACTGAAAGAGATTTTTCCAAGGGTACCTTAATAAGTCTAAAAATGAACAGAAAAATTGTCTGAAAATGGCTTTGCCTTTTTTGAACAATAAATACTGGGTGAGTTGATTCTGTCTGTATTCGAAACTGGAACATAATCTCCAAATATCAAAAGTCTAACTCATTACCTAGCACTAAGAAAATATTTAATAAACATTTGTTAGATGAAAAAATGAATGAATCCATCAAAAAATATATTATATGCCCTCTAACCTTCTTCCTTAGCACTCAACTGGAATATTTGATGCTATGTGTTATCTACTGTTTATTCCTTAATTTGATAGATGATGAAATTGAAAATTACAACTGTGACTCATATCAATGGCTATACTTTGAATAGCCCATGTTTTTCCTTGTTCCTTGTCTTCAAATTGTTATAGCTTGGATACTGTTAAATGTTAATGAATAATGCTCTTGAAGACTAAATGGAAGGATACTCTCTTCTGTGGTCATAATTTGGCTCCTACCATGTTTTTCCACATTCAAAGAGAGATAATGGCCAAGAATGTTCAATAACTGATGGAAGACGTGAACTCCTAGATTATAGAAGCACAGTGAGTTTAGAGGAAAATAAATAAAAGTGAGTCAAAACAGTAGAGAAGCTGGAAAACATTAAAGTTAGGTACAAAAAATTACAAAATCAATGAGAGAAAAGGCAGAATACTTAAAACAAACTTCTCATTAGCAACATTAGAGGCCAAAGGACAATGGAATACTAACTTCCAAGAATTAAACCATCAGTTAAGAAGGGAAATAAAGATATTTTTAGACACACACTGAGATAATTTTCCACACAGATATTCACTATAAAAAAACTACTAAAAGGTATACATTAGTAAAAAGCAATTAAATATAAGAAAAAGAGTGGATTGTTTTAAGCAATGTAAACAAACAAATTGGCAAGTATGATAAAATATTTAAAATAAGAATTGCCTTTTAAAAAATCAATAGTTAAAATTGGAAATAAGTTTAAAACAAGGAAGGATAAAAACGCCAGAAAATAATAACATGGAATATGAGAGTTGGAGACTAAAGTTAAAACAATATAAATGGTCTTCCATCGTTTGAAAAAGTATATCTGGATGTTAATTTTATAATTTGTTAGAGCAAATATATATTTTAAAATTTTAGGGAAAACCATGAAAATAACAGAAATATAAGGTATCACATCCAAACCAATAGAGAATGGAAAAAGGAGATTTAAAACATAATCTAATCTAATTAATAGAAATTTGAAAAATAAAAATAAAAAGCATGATATCTAGAAAATACAAAATAAGATAGCAGCAATAAGGCCTAATAGATCAGTAGTTGTAATACATGTAAACAAATTAAACTCAATAATTAAAAAAAAGCTCTGACTGAATTTTTAAAATCCAGTAATAGACTATTTACAAGTGACACTGGGTTTTTAAAAGAAGTCCAAGTATATTCACTTCGTAAGATAATATATGTTGACATTGAAAGTTTGAAAATAAAGACATAAAATAAGAATTGTCAGAAACAAATGAAATAAAGATGGCAGCCATATTAATACTAGAAAATTATAATTAAAAACAAAAGCATTATTAGAGATGAAAGGGATTCATTGCATGATAAAAAGAGAAAGCTACCAGAGGAACATAAAAATCCTGAGCCTGTATGCATCTAACACTATAAACTTGAAATCTGTAAAGCAAAAAAAAAAAAAAAAAAAAAAAAAAATCAACATAATTACAAGTAGAAAAAGACAAACACAAAATATTAGGAGATTTGAGCATATTTTTCTCAGAAATAAAAAATGTAGCAGCCAAAAGTAGCAAATAACACTCAAAGACCAACCACATTTATGTAGAAGAATTATGTATAAAAACATATAAACCTACATATGGAAACCATCCCCCTCAAATCTTTCTAAGCCACTAAGGAAGTCTCAAAAATTATCAAATAATTTTTAAAAATCCGGACAATTTTCTTTTAGTGCAATTCCATAAAATAAAAATTAATGAAAATAAAATACCAAATAATTCATGGATCAAAGAATAAATCAAATTAAAATGATTAAAAATAGTAATAATTGAAGTAGAATAAAAACACTATATATCATGACTTGTGGAATACAGCTAAAGTGTTATTTAAAAGATAATTTATAACTTTAAATGTACATTGGAAAAAAGAAAGATTAAAAATTAATGAGAAAGTGCAAATTTAAGAAGTGTATAAGTCTGTTCTCATGCTGCTATAAAGAACTGCCTGAGACTGGGTAATTTATAAAGAAAAGAGGTTTAATTGACTCACAGTTCCACATGGCTGGGGAAGCTTACAATCATGGTGGAAGGCACCTCTTCACAGGGCAGCAGCAGTAAGAATGAGTGCCAGGAAGGGAAATGCCAGATGCTTATAAAACCATCAGATCTCCTGAGAACGCACTATCAGGGGAACAGCATGGTGGAAATTGCTCCCGTGATTCAATTACCTACACCTGGTCCTGCCTTTGACATGTGGGGATTATTACAATTCAAGATGAGATTTGGGAGGTGACACAGAGACAAACCGTATCAAGAAGTAAAAATATCCACTGAAAAGTGAACCTAAAGAATGTATATGAGAAGAAATGATCAAAATAGAAGTGGAAATTAATGTAACAGAAGATAAAAAAACAAACTAAACAAAAAGCCAGTTATTTGTTAAGACAAAATAGTGAGACTCTTCCAATGTGACCAAGGTGGGGGTAGAAGGTGAAGGTAGAGCAGCAGGGAAGAGAATCAGTATTAGGAATGTAAAGAAGGCCACATTTTCAGACAAAAGTAAATATTATAACATAAGAAGCTGTTAGAAATAATTTTATGCTAGCAAATTTGAAAATGTGAATTACGTGGATAAATTTGTGGAAAAAGTATAAATGAAAAAAATTTATTCAGTAAGAAATTAAAACACTGACGAGGGAGGAGCCAAGATGGCCAAATAGGAACAGCTCCAGTCTACAGCTCCCAGCGTGAGCGACGCAGAAGACGGTGATTTCTGCATTTCCATCTGAGGTACCGGGTTCATCTCACTAGGGAGTGCCAGACAGTGGGCGCAGGTCAGTGGGTGCGCGCACCGTGCGCGAGCCGAAGCAGGGCGAGGCATTGCCTCACTCAGGAAGCGCAAGGGGTCAGGGAGTTCCTTTTCCGAGTCACAGAAAGGGGTGACAGACGGCACCTGGAAAATCGGGTCACTCCCACCAGCATATTGCGCTTTTCCGACGGGCTTAAAAAATGGCACACCACGAGATTATAATCCGCACCTGGCTCGGAGGGTCCTACACCCACAGAGTCTCGCTGATTGCTAGCACAGCAGTCTGAGATCAAACTGCAAGGCCCCAGGAGGGCTGGGGGAGGGGCGCCTGCCATTGCCCAGGCTTGCTTAGGTAAACAAAGCAGCCTGGAAGCTGGAACTGGGTGGAGCCCACCACAGCTCAAGGAGGCCTGCCTGCCTCTGTAGGCTCCACCTCTGGGGGCAGGGCACAGACAAACAAAAAGACAGCAGTAACCTCTGCAGACTTAAATGTCCCTGTCTGACAGCTTTGAAGAGAGCAGTGGTTCTCCCAGCATGCAGCTGGAGATCTGAGAACGGGCAGACTGCCTCCTCAAGTGGGTCCCTCACCCCTGACCCCCGAGCAGCCTAACTGGGAGGCACCCCCCAGCAGGGGCACACTGACACCTCACACGGCAGGGTACTCCAACAGACCTGCAGCTGAGGGTGCTGTCCGTTAGAAGGAAAACTAACAAACAGAAGGACATCCACACCAAAAACCCATCTGTACATCACCATCATCAAAGACCAAAAGTAGATAAAACCACAAAGATGGGGAAAAAACAGAACAGAAAAACTGGAAACTCTAAAACGCAGAGCGCCTCTCCTCCTCCAAAGGAACTCAGTTCCTCACCAGCAACGGAACAAAGCTGGATGGAGAATGACTTTGACGAGCTGAGAGAAGAAGGCTTCAGATGATCAAATTACTCTGAGCTACGGGAGGACATTCAAACCAAAGGCAAAGAAGTTGAAAACTTTGAAAAAAATTTAGAAGAATGTATAACTAGAATAACCAATACAGAGAAGTGCTTAAAGGAGCTGATGGAGCTGAAAACCAAGGCTCGAGAACTACGTGAAGAATGCAGAAGCCTCAGGAGCCGATGTGATCAACTGGAAGAAACGGTATCAGCGGTGGAAGATGAAATGAATGAAATGAAGTGAGAAGGGAAGTTTAGAGAAAAAAGAATAAAAAGAAATGAGCAAAGCTTCCAAGAACTATGGGACTATGTGAAAAGACCAAATCTACGTCTGATTGGTGTACCTGAAAGTGACGGGGAGAATGGAACCAAGTTGGAAAACACTCTGCAGGATATTATCCAGGAGAACTTCCCCAATCTAGCAAGGCAGGCCAACGTTCAGATTCAGGAAATACAGAGAACGCCACAAAGATACTCCTCGAGAAGAGCAACTCCAAGACATATAATTGTCAGATTCACCAAAGTTGAAATGAAGGAAAAAATGTTAAGGGCAGCCAGAGAGAAAGGTCGGGTTACCCACAAAGGGAAGCCCATCAGACTAACAGCGGATCTCTCAACAGAAACCCTACAAGCCAGAAGAGAGTGGGGGCCAATATTCAACATTCTTAAAGAAAAGAATTTTCAACCCAGAATTTCATATCCAGCCAAACTAAGCTTCATAAGCGAAGGAGAAATAAAATACTTTACAGACAAGCAAATGCTGAGAGATTTTTCACCACCAGGCCTGCCCTAAAAGAGCTCCTGAAGGAAGCGCTATACATGGAAAGGAACAACCGGTACCAGCCGCTGCAAAATCATGCCAAAATGTAAAGACCATGGAGACTAGGAAGAAACTACATCAACTAACGAGCAAAATAACCAGCTAACATCATCATGACAGGATCAAATTCACACATAACAATATTAACTTTAAATGTAAATGGACAAATGCTCCAATTAAAAGACACAGACTGGCAAATTGGATAAAGAGTCAAGACCCATCAGTGTACTGTATTCAGGAAACCCATCTCACGTGCAGAGACACACATAGGCTCAAAATAAAAGGATGGAGGAACATCTACCAAGCAAATGGAAAACAAAAAAAGGCAGGGGTTGCAATCCTAGTCTCTGATAAAACAGACTTTAAACCAACAAAGATCAAAAGAGACAAAGAAGGCCATTACATAACGGTAAAGGGATCAATTCAACAAGAACAACTAACTATCCTAAATATATATACACCCAATACAGGAGTACCAAGATTCATAAAGCAAGTCCTGAATGACGTACAAAGAGACTTAGACTCCCACACATTAATAATGGGAGACTTTAACACCCCACTGTCAACATTAGACAGAGCAACGAGACAGAAAGTCAACAAGGATACCCAGGAATTGAACTCAGCTCTGCACCAAGCGGACCTAATAGACATCTACAGAACTCTCCACCCCAAATCAACAGAATATACATTTTTTTCAGCACCACACCCCACCTATTCCAAAATTGACCACATACTTGGAAGTAAAGCTCTCCTCAGCAAATGTAAAAGAACAGAGATTATAACAAACTATCTCTCAGACCACAGTGCAATCAAACTAGAACTCAGGATTAAGAATCTCACTCAAAACTGCTCAACTACATGGAAACTGAACAACCTGCTCCTGAATGACTACTGGGTACATAACGAAATGAAGGCAGAAATAAAGATGTTCTTTGAAACCAACGAGAACAAAGACACAACATACCAGAATCTCTGGGATGCATTCAAAGCAGTGTGTAGAGGGAAATTTATAGCACTAAATGCCCACAAGAGAAAGCAGGAAATATCCAAAATTGACACCCTAACATCACAATTAAAAGAACTAGAAAGGCAAGAGCAAACACATTCAAAAGCTAGCAGAAGGCAAGAAATAACTAAAATCAGAGCAGAACTGAAGGAAATAGAGACACAAAAAACCCTTCAAAAAATTAATGAATCCAGGAGCTGGTTTTTTGAAAGGATCAACAAAATAGATAGAGCGCTAGCAAGACTAATAAAGAAAAAAAGAGAGAAGAATCAAATAGACGCAATAAAAAATGATAAAGGGGATATCACCAACGATCCCACAGAAATACAAACTACCATCAGAGAATACTACAAACACCTCTACGCAAATAAACTAGAAAATCTAGAAGAAATGGATAAATTCCTCAACACATACACTCTCCCAAGACTAAACCAGGAAGAAGTTGAATCTCTGAATAGACCAATAACAGGACTTGAAATTGTGGCAATAATCAATAGCTTACCAACTAAAAAGAGTCCAGGACCAGATGGATTCACAGCCGAATTCTACCAGAGGTACAAGGAGGAACTGGTACCATTCCTTCTGAAACTATTCCAATCAACAGAAAAAGAGGGAATCCTCCCTAACTCTTTTTATGAGGCCAGCATCATTCTGATACCAAAGCCAGGCAGAGACACAACCAAAAAAGAGAATTTTAGACCAATATCCTTGATGAACATTGATGCAAAAATCCTCAATAAAATACTGGCAAACCGAATCCAGCAGCACATCAAAAAGCTTATCCACCATGATCAAGTGGGCTTCATCCCTGGGATGCAAGGCTGGTTCAATATATGCAAATCAATAAATGTAATCCAGCATATAAACAGAGCCAAAGACAAAAACCACATGATTATCTCAATAGATGCAGAAAAAGCCTTTGACAAAATTCAACAATCCTTCATGCTAAAAACTCTCAATAAATTAGGTATTGATGGGACGTATTTCAAAATAATAAGAGCTATCTATGACAAACCCACAGCCAATATCATACTGAATGGGCAAAAACTGGAAGCATTCCCTTTGAAAACTGGCACAAGACAGGGATGCCCTCTCTCACCACTCCTATTCAACATAGTGTTGGAAGTTCTGGCCAGGGCAATTAGGCAGGAGAAGGAAATAAAGAGTATTCAATTAGGAAAAGAGGAAGTCAAATTGTCCCTGTTTGCAGATGACATGATTGTATATCTAGAAAACCCCATTGTCTCAGCCCAAAAGCTCCTTAAGCTGATAAGCAACTTCAGCAAAGTCTCAGGATACAAAATCAATGTACAAAAATCACAAGCATTCTTATACACCAACAACAGACAAACAGAGAGCCAAATCGTGAGTGAACTTCCATTCACAATTGCTTCAAAGAGAATAAAATATCTAGGAATCCAACTTACAAGGGATGTGAAGGACCTCTTCAAGGAGAGCTACAAACCACTGCTCAAGGAAATAAAAGAGGATACAAACAAATGGAAGAACATTCCATGCTCATGGGTAGGAAGAATCAATATCATGAAAATGGCCATACTGCCCAAGGTAATTTACAGATTCAATGCCATCCCCATCAAGCTACCAATGACTTTCTTCACAGAATTGGAAAAAACTACTTTAAAGTTCATATGGAACCAAAAAAGAGCCCGCATCACCAAGTCAATCCTAAGCCAAAAGAACAAAGCTGGAGGCATCACACTACCTGACTTCAAACTATACTACAAGGCTACAGTAACCAAAACAGCACGGTACTGGTACCAAAACAGAGATATAGATCAATGGAACAGAACAGAGCCCTCAGAAATAACGCCGCATATCTACAACTATCTGATCTTTGACAAACCTGAGAAAAACAAGCAATGGGGAAAGGATTCCCTATTTAATGAATGGTGCTGGGAAAACTGGCTAGCCATATGTAGAAAGCTGAAACTGGATCCCTTCCTTACACCTTATACAAAAATCAATTCAAGATGGATTAAAGACTTAAACGTTAGACCTAAAACCATAAAAACCCTAGAAGAAAACCTAGGCATTACCATTCAGGACATAGGCATGGGCAAGGACTTCATGTCTAAAACACCAAAAGCAATGGCAACAAAAGACAAAATTGACAAATGGGATCTAATTAAACTAAAGAGCTTCTGCACAGCAAAAGAAACTACCATCAGAGTGAACAGGCAACCTACAAAATGGGAGAAAATTTTCGCAACTTACTCATCTGACAAAGGGCTAATATCCAGAATCTACAAGGAACTTAAACAAATTTACAAGAAAAAAACAAACAACCCCATCAAAAAGTGGGCAAAGGACATGAACAGACACTTCTCAAAAGAAGACATTTATGCAGCGAAAAAACACATGAAAAAATGTTCATCATCACTGGCCATCAGAGAAATGCAAATCAAAACCACAATGAGATACCATCTCGCACCAGTTAGAATGGCAATCATTAAAAAGTCAGGAAACAACAGGTGCTGGAGAGGATGTGGAGAAATAGGAACACTTTGACACTGTTGGTGGGACTGTAAACTAGTTCAACCATTGTGGAAGTCAGTGTGGCGATTCCTCAGGGATCTAGAACTAGAAATACCATTTGACCCAGCCATCCCATTACTGGGTATATACCCAAAGGACTATAAATCATGCTGCTATAAAGACACATGCACACGTATGTTTATTGCGGCATTATTCACAATAGCAAAGACTTGGAACCAACCCAAATGTCCAACAGTGATAGACTGGATTAAGAAAATGTGGCACATATACACCATAGAATACTATGCAGCCATAAAAAATGATGAGTTCATGTCCTTTGTAGGGACATGGATGAAATTGGAAATCATCATTGTCAGTAAACTATCGCAAGAACAAAAAAACAAACACTGCATATTCTCACTCATAGGTGGGAATTGAACAATGAGATCACATGGACACAGGAAGGGGAATATCACGCTCTGGGGACTGTTGTGGGGTAGGGGGAGGGGGGAAGGATAGCATTGGGAGATATACCTAATGCTAGATGACGAGTTAGTGGGTGCAGCGCACCAGCATGGCACATGTATACATATGTAACTAACCTGCACAATGTGCACATGTACCCTAGAACTTAAAGTATAATAATAAAAAAAAAAGTTTATCAAGAGAGTAATATAGTAAAAGTGACATTTTGAAAATGACTCTTCTGATAGAAGCATTTAATAAGCTCTTACAACATGCCAAGCACTACACTAAGCATAAACATGTTGCCTCAATGCAAGATGGACTTAGAATGGAGGCCCAGCTGTGACAAGAATGCACATTTGAGAATCTGGGCCATGTCTGATTGCCTGTCTTGTTTTTGTTGCCCCAAACAAACAAAGAAACAACAAAGGCAGGGAAAAGTGTAATAGCCAAAGTAATAACTGGCAGCTGCACAAGCCCTCGGTCAGGTTCATGTCATTACAGGAGTCCCTGGTGCCCCACACTTCCTAAAGGCAGAAGAGCCACAGAATGGCAATGAATATGTGAAGGTGAGCCTGGGTGGTTAGGTCATTTCTTCAGGAAGAAAAGACAGAAATAAAATTAGAACAGGGTGAAAAAAAAAAAAAAAGAAAGAAATTAAACACTGACTAGATCTATTAAAGAAATCACATCAGTCGTACAACTTGCCCTCAAATAAAAGCAAAGGACTCATACAATTTCACAGATTTTGCAGGCCTTCCAAGGAAAAAACTTCTATTTATATAAATTGTTTTATGGGCTAGAAAAAGGAACAAGAGCTCTCCAACTTATTTTAGAAATAATAATATATATTTCATACATAAAATGGATTAGGAAAGTACAAAGAAGAAAATTTATAAGCTATGCTTTATTACAGAAGCAAAAATCCTAAATAACATATTAGTCAATGATTCCAGAAATATTTTTTTAAATTAATTATGACCAAAGAAGACTCATTCTGGATCTGAAAGAATGATTTATAATTAAGAAATCTATTAAGTAATTTAATACATTAACTCATTAAAAGTTATTATTTGTTGTCTCATAAGTGCAGGAAGATTTATTACCTAAAATTCAACAACCATTAATGATTTCAAAAAACCTTATACTCACAATAAATTAAATTTCCTGAATATGATGAAAGATATCTAACAAAAGCCTAGAGCACAAATACCTTTCAACAGTAAAATGTAAGGAGCATGCTCTCCAAAATTAAAGGGAAGTATGCTAATTATCATTACTTCTATTTAACATTGTTAAATAGTATTCCAGCCAATGCAATAATAAAAGAAAAAGAAATAAAACATGTATGAGAACTTTATGAAGAAAAATATGAATTGTTGTTAAAAGGAGATAAAAGCCTAAATAATAAAAAGATACATCATATACCTGAAATGAAAAAGTCAATATCACATAGGCCAGATATATCAAAATAAATCTATAAATCTGTGACATTTTCAAAACCTTCCAAATATTTTTAAAGGAAGTTGATAAATTAATATTACAATTTGAATAAAAGAATATATGGCCAAGAAATGAAAAAAAATGACAAGGGATAAAGCAGGAGGATCATCATACCACATATCTAAAATCTGATGACAATTAATAGCAAATTGTTACAACTCTGTGACAAGGAGCAAGGACAGAAAAGTAGACTAATGACACTGAATACAGCACTTATAAGAAGGCTCATAAATACATAGAATTTTGGTAAATATAATAGAGTTGGCATTGCAACTGGAGAATAAGATAGACTACTCAATAAGCAAAAATGAGAAAACAAGTCATCCTTATGGAAAAAAATAAAATATTTATTTCATACACAATTAAAAAAATAAATTTAATCTGCTTTAAAAGTAAAACTTTAAAACATAAAATGATAGTATCTTTTAATGAGCCAATAGAAAAAATATGTTTTTAACCAAGAGACAGGCATAAACCTTAGGAGACTGATAAATGTGAGCATATCAATGTTTAAAACTTCAGTTCTGTTCAGTCTTCTTAGGTTTAAAGAGATTCAAGGAATATTCAAGGAAAATATTCAAGGAAAAAACTTCATTCAAGGAAAAAAAAATGCATGTAATAAACCAAAAGTTGGATCTAAAATATATAAAGAACCCATCCAAGGCAAAACTGAAAAAAAAAAAAAAAGAAGGAGAAAGAGAGAAAATCAACAGATAGAAAAGTTGATAATGGTATGAACAGGCAATAGAAGAGGAAACCTAAATAGCTAATAAGCATAAAGAATTCAGCCTTAATTACCTGTTATTAATCAATACAAATTAAAACAATCCAATAGGTATATTTCATACCTATAAGATAGGCAAATTTTTATATCTGGTTAAGATGACAACAAATGGGAAGTGTCTTACATCATTGTTAAGAGTGTAAACTCTTACACTCTTAACAATCTCTTTAGCAAATAGTTTTGTAGTATCTAAAAATCATAAAGTGTATATGCCTGTGGTTCCAGTATTTCTACTTCTGGTTTTTCAATTTATAGAAACCCTTACATATTCTCTCAAGAAGATGTTGACAGGAACATTTATCCCATTTTTTTTGTAACAGCAGTAAAATGGAAACAACCTAAATGCCAATTCATTCACTGTGGTGGGCACTTTGAGAATAGATGGAAAACAAAACAAAACTTCTGCCCTCACTGAGTTTACATGCCATGATTCAAGAATTTCAAATACAATATCCTACTCTGTTCACCTCCCAATCTTTCTGTAAGTTTACCAAAAGCATACATACATTTTTCCCCAACCTGAGTAAGAATTAAAAGGGTATTATGCCTATGGTCTGTCTACTTGTTGCTTAATGAGGTAAAGCATTTTAATACAGTTTAGTGATATGAAAGCCTGAATAACTGCATGGAGTAGTAATGTCATTAGGCTGTGATGATACTCAATGAGAAAAGTAAAAAGAAATTTGCAGTTGCCATGTGTTATTTGTATAAGCATGCTACCAGAAATGTCACTCTGTTAGTAGACTAATAAAACATTAATCCCTTAAAAACTGATAAAGAGAAAACCCAAAGGGAAAATGGAGGCTTGCAGTTAAGTGAAAGTAGCCGACAGACTTTCCAGAACACAGATTTTGAGATTAGACAAATCTGGCTTCAGTCCAGGCCCTGCCACACTGTATTATGTGTCAAATCATCTAACTTACTTGAGTTTCATTGTTTCTTTCTATGAAATAGAATAATTCCTACCTCAGGAATCACCTGTACTAGTTTGGATAGAGCTATCAGTGTGACTGATGTGGAGACTCATACAGATTCCTTTATAGCCTGACAGGACCCAAACGTCTCAGGACCACATGCTTTCTAAGAAACTCTCAAACTTTAGAGTGCAAGAAATACAAAATTTTCAGATTGTCGGTCATCACCTGGATTCTCACACCATAAAGGTTTCTACATCCCCTAATCTGACTCAATTTTATACTCCTTCTCAAACCTCCAAACTTTTTAAAGTCTGCCATAGGAAAAATCTCTTAGAGCTTCAAACTCTTTCATAATATTCTCTTTTCACTTTTCTGTTCCACCAAAAATCTGCTTTCCCCTGAGGCCCCTTTCCCAGAATCCCTATTGAGTAGTGGCTGTTTTCTCTCCCTCACACCTTATGCCAATGGATTACTTATAAAGCTACTTTCTTCTCCTTCTTTGGTATGCCGCAGCTCTTTTGAAGATTCTGTGTCAGACTATACCACACTCTACCCTCCTTGATACAGTCATTTGCAGACCTTAATATAGACCTCATTCCCTGCAGATTTCAGCAACTGCTCTTTTTCAAACACTACTGTCATCATAATTCTTGGTAATTTCAACATTTACACAGGTAATCTTTCCAATATTGTGATTTCTCAACTTCTTGACTTCATCTCCTCTCATGATCACATCCACTAGCCCAACTACCTCATGATTGTAACCTTGTCATTACCAATAATTGTATCCACTGTATAACCTCAATTTTAATCTTCCTAATATCTGACAACTGCATCCTTTGCTTCCAGTTCACCCCTCTGGTACCTCAATTCAAACAGTTCTATGCACTAACAACTCTAACCTTTAATCCTACAACCCTGCTCATATTCACACTTTCTTTTTTCAAACTTAGATTTGATGGTCCATAAACAAAATCATTTCTCTGCATAAAGCCACAGTAGCCATAGTTCCTTACTACTTCAGCCTTGCTTGATAAAACCCCAGCAGTGTTTAATTATCTTCATGTTTACTCTGCCCCCACAGTTAAAGACTGACCATGGTTACAGTGACTTCTCATTTTGAACTCAGCTGTTGCTCCAGAAATGTTAGTTCTTCAAAGCAGGTAGGTAGGAGCTGCCAATTTATGTAGGCAGAGTGGCAGCAATGGACTGACTTTTAGTTTAGCATGAATATTATATGTCCTGCCACTCCCATCCCCAGTACTCTTGGAAGACTCTAGAACTTGTATTCAACTGAAGGAAACCACCCTGCCTCTGCTTCTGCACCAGCTAAGTTGATACCTGAGTAAAACCCAGAGGCTCATGCAGGAGCCACTCCAGCTTAGCATGGCACAGGGTCAGTCATTAAAGCCATCCTAAAGAGTCCAATGCTGTGTGCTCCCTGAATAACCCATCAAGCCAGAGCCACTTCCCTGCAGTAGCTCAGATTAGTAACCCACCTACAGGGACAGTAGCAAGTTCCACCCAGAAATATAAAGTTGACAAAGTTGTTTTTCACACTGCCATGGCTCATTTCTCTGTTTTCTGCTTTTTGTCCAGATTACCTCTTTATCAATTGCTATGACAGGAAAATAATATGATCTCAGTCTCATTTCCTTTCATCTGAGATTAAATTGATTTTCGAATATAAAGTTCTTTGTCTTTAAATCATTTAGGGTATAAGTAGGCACATGATGGGATTTTTTTGCTGGAGAAGTGGTTTCCTCCTCTGGCTATAATGTGCTTGGGCTGGACTTGGGCCTCCTGGATTGACTTTGAATGGATACAGTACAGAATGGATATTTTTGTTCCTATATCCTTTAGCTTGGCACAATCACTTGGAATGTGACAATCCTCTCAAATAGTACGTTTGACTATTTGTCATTAATTTTAATGCTGTAACTATTTGGGGGTGTATTCAGTTTTTTGTTCATTCATTAATCCATATAATCAATCAATATAGATTGAGAATCTGCAATACTCAAGGCTTTGTGTTGAATGCTGAACCAAACATGAGAAAGAAACAGTCCTTGATTGGTTATCTAGTTACCACAGGAAGGTAAATAATCATTATAATCAGGTACTCTACAGAGGAATAATTTCAGTGAGGAATATTAGAACTGTTATTTATAAATGAGAGTTTTACCACTCAAAATACCTGAAGCATCCAATAAAAGGATTAAAAAGACATTATTATAGTCTTTCTCTGAAAATCTCAAACCATTTATAAATATTTTCACAACATGTACCTGAGATGAGAGGGGAGAAAAAAAACCACATAGAGGTCAATGACTTATAACCACAGAATTTAAGAGCTGAAAAGCACATCAAAATTCAACTGACCAAGTTTTCCTGGTTTCACCTTACAAATGTAGAAAGCTGGAAAGAGCATTCTTTCAGCCCTTAAAATAAGAAAAAAAAATCCAGATAAAATGCTAATTAACACCTTTTCTTGAACCCACATGAGAACTGGTCAGGTGCCTGCAGGGAGGAACAGGGCCTCAACATTTGCTTACCTGTGGCAGAGGCCACCAGAAAACACATAAGCCACAAAAATGACTCAGTGAGAAATTGTGGAAAACTTGCTTGAGGCCAAATGTGAGACTAGTGTGAGTGTGAGGTCTCTGGGGGATGCAACTCTAGGGAGCTTTTTAGCCTCTTTCATGGTTTTCCTCCATAATCTCCTCCAGATGTCTGCAGTGGGGATCAGAGAGCATCCTGAGAAAGCTTCCCAAGTGGCAGCTCAGGGAAGGAAACAGCAGTCCTTGCCCAAACTCGCCAAATCCATCATGCCCATCTCCCTGGTAGAAAGTCTGAATCTGCAGAGGGAAGTGCAACAAAGACTGTCACCTCAGTACACTGGTTGAAGCCTACGGCATCTAGTGTAATAAAACAAAAATACAAAATCTTCTTGAAATACAAGCCCAGTGCTACAGCTAGAGGAGGAGCACTTTGGAACCCCCCAGATGCCCAGTCTCTCCCTTAAACTAAAGCTTAATCATAACATCAGAAAATGTTTCCCTTCTTATAGCTCCTACCACCATGCTGACAAGTACTGAGCAAAAATAGCGGGAAAATACTTCTGAAAGAACTACAGGAGACAAATTTTCTCTGGGAAACATACATTGAGAAAAACTTTATGGTATACAAATCTACACCCTAAACACAAGAAAAACTTGAGCCCTTTGGTGCACTGATGGGACCCACAGCAACAGACTTCAAACCCAGCTGAACTGCTGATACTAGTAACATAAACCTCTACATTAAGGGCACAGCAGAAGGAAAGATGTGCTCATTTCCAAGCATGAAATATATTTATCTCAGTGTATGCTGTCCTATATATAGATACATGTATATTTTGCTTTTATCAATAAATTAAGAGGCATAGAAAAAGGCAAAAATAAAACACAGTTTGAAGAGAAAAAACAATCAGGCTCAGACTAGATTGCCATTTTACAAATGTAGAGAAAGAACAACTTAAATCCAAAGCAAGCAGAAGGAAGGAAATTTTCAAAGTAACTGATTATGACATTATAGGGTAGTAAACAACAAGTAATATAAGATAGGTAATTTCAACAGAGAGATAGAACAGAGAGATGAAAATGCTAGAAATCAAAAATATAACAAAGATAAAGAATACCTTTAGCAAACTCATCAGTAGACTCAATACAGCTATAAAGAGAATCTGTAAACTTGAAGATAGGTCAACAGGAGATACCCAAATTGAAATAAAAGGGGTAAAAAGTAAAAGAACAGCATCCAATAGATGTAGCATAATATTTAACAGCCTAACATGCACATAATTGGAATTCTAGAAAAAGAAGAGAGGATGATGTGGAAGTAATATATGAACAGGTAATGTATGAGAAGTTTCCAGAATTGATGACACACACACACACACACACACACACACACACACACACACACACACAGATTCTCAAAGCCCACAGAATGAGAAGCAAGATAAATACCTAAAAACACACCAACATGTATCATAGTCATACAATAGAAATGTAAAAGTATGTTTAATTATGAGAAAGGAAAAATACAAATAAATATTCCTCATGAGCAAAAATCCTCAACAAAATATTAGAAATCAAATAAAATAATATATAAACAAATAATATAACCAAGCAGAGTTCACTCCAAGAACACAGTGTTGGTTCAACGTTCAAAAATCAATATAATCCAACTTATTAGTAAATTAAATAAGAAAACCTACATGATACGACAGACGCATAAAAAGCATTTGACAAAACTTATAGTTCGTTACCAATTTTTTAAAAATTCACAGTAAGACAGAAGTAGAAAGGAACTTTCTCACCCTAATAAAAGGCATCTACAAAACAAACAAACAGAAACCCTACAGCTAACATCATACTCAATTGTAAGAGACTGAGGGCTTTCCCCCTAAAATGTGAGCAAGGCAAGAATGTCCTCTCTGACGGCTTGTATTCAACATTGTGCTGGAAGCTCTATCCAGTGCAATACAAACAAACAAACAAAATAATAAAAGGCATATGAATTGTAAAAAAAGAAATAAAACTTCCTATTTGCAGACAGCATGATTGTGTACATTGAAAATCACAATCTATAAAAATGCTTCTAGAAATAATAAGTAAATTTTATAAGAACACAGCTACAAGTTAATATACAAAAGTTAGTTGCATTTCTATATATTACTAATGATAAATTAAAATTTGAAATTTAAAAACATCATTTAAAATAGTACCTAAACAATAAAGTACTTAAAAATAAATTAAAGAAAATATGTACAGTTTATGTTGAAACACACAAAATATAATGGAAGAAAACAAAGGAAAATTAAATAACTAAAGAAATAAAATATATTTATGGATTTTAAGTCTTGGTGTTATTAAATCTATACATTAAGTGCATTTTCAATCAAAATCTTAACAAGCTTTTTGTAGATATTGACAAGGCGGTTCTAAAATTTATCTGAAAAGGGAAAGGAACTAAAAGCCAAAACAATTCTGGAAAAGAAGAACAAAGTTGGAGGACATACACTTGCCTATTATTAGTTTTACTATAAAGCTTTTGCTTTTATCAATAAATTAAGAGGCATAGAAAAAGGCAAAAATAAAACACAGTTTGATTACACAGTAATCAAGACAGTTGTATTGGTGAAGGGATAAATAAACAGATCATGGAACAGAATAGAGAACCCAGAAATAGACCCACACAAATACTATCAACTGATTTTTTGGCAGAGGTAATTCAGTGGAGAAAGGACAGTTACGATAACAAATGGTGCTGAAACAATTGGAAATCTACATAAAAAAAACCTCAACATAACTTATATAGAACATAACTCAAAATGCATAATATACCTAGCTGTAAAACATATAACTTTAAAACTTCCAGAAGATAACATGAGAGTGAATCTGCATGCCCTTTGGTTTGGTAATAAAGTTCTACATATAACACTAAAAGCAAAACTTATTTAGTACAATAATTTTATTTATAAAACTTCAAAATTTTATTCTTTAAGAGACACTGTTAAATGAATGAAAAGCGAGGCAACGGATTAGGAGAAAATATTTGCAAATCACATATCTGATAAGTGATTTGTATACAGAATATCTCAAGAGCCCGTAAAATCCAATAAGAAGACACAAGTGAATTAAAACACGGAAAAAAGATTTGAATGGACACTTCGCCAAAGAAGATATATGGGTGACAAAAAGCACATGAAAATATTTTCAACATCATTACTCACTAAAGAAATACAAAATAAAACAATGAGATATCACTATACACTTATCAGAATGGTTAAAATTTTTAAAAAGTCAATGAAAGTTGTCAGTCTAAAAAGGATACATACTATATGATTCCAACCATATGATATATTGAAAAAGGCAAAACTAAAAAAAGGATTAAAAAATTAGTGGTTGCCAGGGGTTTGGGAGAATAAATAGGTGGAGCACAGACGACTTTTAGGGCAGTGAAAGTACTCTGTATGATAGTATTATGGTGGATACATATCATTATACATTTGCCCAAACCCACAGAATACAAATACAAGAGGGAACCCTAATGTAAACTCTGGCTCTGGGTGATAATAATATGTCAATGTAGGTTTATTAATTGTAACAAATGTACCATTCTGGTGAAGGATTTTGATGATGGGGGAGTCTATGCATGTGTTGGGGATAGGGAATACATGGGAAACTTCTGGACTTTTAATTTTGTTGTGAACTCAAAACTGCTTTAAAAAATTAAGTCTTTTAAACAAATACTTGACAGTACCAAATGATGGAAAGGATATGGAGAAAACAGACCATTCATACATTGCTGATAAGAATGTATGGATACTTTGGAAAGCAATTTGATAGTTTCCTGGAAAGTTAAAATAACCAATCAGGAATCCTACTCACAGGTATTTATTTACCCAAGTGACTTAAAAACTATTTTCTCACAAAAACTCATATGTAAATTTTTATAGCAAAGCTATTCATAACTGCCACAAACTAGAAACAACCCAGTTATTCTCCAACAGCTAGATATAAAAACGTACTGTGGTACATCCATACAATGGAATACTATTCAGCAATACAAGGAACTAACTACTGATTCATACAACAACATGGATGATTCTTAAATGCATTTTGCAATGCGAAATAAACCACACCCCACAGGCTGCATGTTGGGTTTCAATTTTGATGACATTCTGGCAAAGACAAAACTATAGGAATGAAAAACAGACTTGAGCCAGACGCAGTGGCTCGCTCATTCATGCCTGTAATCTCAGCACTTTGGTGTGCTGAGACAAGACAATCACTTGAGGCTAGAGGATCACTTGAGGCCAGGAGTTCAAGACCAGCCTGAGCAATATAGTGAGACCCTATTACTATAAAAATAAAAATTAAAAGGAAAAAAAGATTTCTTCTTGGGGAAAGGGGAAGGATTGAGTACAAAGTACAAAGCTGCTGCACAAGGGAGATGTGAGGGGGATGAAACTGGGCTCTGTGGTACTATCGGTGGATACAGAACTAAATGT
Source organism: Homo sapiens (assembly GCF_000001405.40). Classification (NCBI taxonomy): domain Eukaryota; kingdom Metazoa; phylum Chordata; class Mammalia; order Primates; family Hominidae; genus Homo; species Homo sapiens. Next base: position 84,142,888 of record NC_000004.12, read on the forward strand.
TTGTAAACACCTATAGATGTGTATAATACAAAAGTGCAACTTTTACTGTTTGCACACACACATACACTCACACACAATCAGTTAGGATGGTGGGGGAACCCAGGACAGAGTTCAGACTGTAACAAAACAATCTGATTGTACTACAAATGTAAGATGTCAGCTCGCTGAAGGGGATGGGGAAGAAAGGAGCTGATCTAAATAGCTGAAAAACTGTTTTGTCTGGGTACTCTAAAGTTAAAGATAAAGTGTACAAATATTGTATTTTAGTCAGTAAATTTGTTTCTCACAGAAGTACAATTTAGCAATTCTGAAATTATATTTATTAGCACAGAGTAAATAAGTAAATATATTTGAAGGAATAAAAACTAGGTTCCTCACTGTCAGAGAAAGAAGTTACAAATAACAACGGGATAAAAACCATGTGATACAGAATTAGAGCTGATGATGACTCTATGAATGTGTGTTTATTTATATGTGTGTTTATTTATATGTGTGTGCACACGTACTAGATAGAAACAGAAATGTAGCATGTGTGTGTACGTGAGTTGCATGTGTATACATAGACATATCCATATACATAATCCTTAGTGCTGTCTACTGAAAGTGCCTACAAGCAGTGATACTGCAGCAATATTGAGTATACCCAGCATCTATATCTTGGTTTCTAAGTACCAGTATCTAGGGAAAGAAACAGAATCCTTTGAGAAATGGGTGATTCTAGGCTGGGATACAGAAGATACAAGATAAATCTGAAGTATTTCTACAACTGCAAAGTAACAGGGAAAATGTATTTTAATGAGAGCATGGCCACCTGAAAGAATTCCCAACGGCCAAAACTGAAACAACTTGAACAACTAAATAAATGATAGTATTAAATTACAACCCTCTAAATAAAATACATCTCCATGGGTCCATACTGATAGAAATATATGATTGAATAAATATATGGGAGAGAAGACTCAAATCATCTTTGCAGATGAATTACAATGAAGAAATATAGAAGGAATGAGGGAAACAGAAAATCAACATTAGAACACCCCACAAATAATTGCTATAGGCAGATTCCTAATGAATGCCAAAATTAGTGGACAAAGCTTTATAGATATGCAACATATTTGCTAAGCCTCAAGGTGCATTTTTCAAAATATGTATTAATTACTTGCTGTGGTTTTAACATACGTCCAAAAATTCTTTGATATTCTTCCTTTCAGGAGGTGGAGCTTCATTCCCCTCCCCTTGAGGGTGCACTGAATTTAGTAAATCACTTTTAATGAATAGAGACTTTTGATGAATAGAGTATGAAAGGTTAAAAAAAGTTATTTTTATAACAATTTTACCAGGTTGGCAGACACCAGCCTAACAAGGTGATAAAGTTAACATCACCAGCAGTAAGTCATTTGATGTCATGTAATCCTGATATGAGGCAATGTGAGGACACTTAATCTCTGTGGTAGTCTTTAACAAAACCCATAATAATCCCAGTCTGATCATCAGAAGACATAAGACAGATCCAAATTGAGGGACATTCTATTTTGAAAGTGTCAGGATCATGAAATATAAGGAAAGACTGAGAAACCATCATAGAATGGGGGAAAATACAGAGACACAATGACTAAATGCAATGTCGGGTACTGGATTTAATCCTGGAAAATAAATTAGAACATTAGTAGAAACTGGGGAAATCCAAATAATGTCTGTTTAGTTAATAGTGTTATACCAATGTTACTTTCTTAGTTTTTATGATATACCATGACTACATAAAATAGTCACATTAAAATAGCTGACTGAATGGTATATGGGAACTCTCTATACCACTTTTGCAACTGTTCTATAAATCTAGAATTATTTTATTATAAAAGTTTTAGGCCGGGCATGGTGGCTGACACCTGTAATCCCAGCACTTTTGGAGGCCCAGGCAGATGGATCACCTGATGTCAGAAGTTTGAGACCAGCCTGACCAATACGGTGAAACCCTGTCTCTACTAAAAATACAAAAATTAGCTTGGCATGGTGGCGTGTGCCTGTAGTCCCAGCTGTTCGGAAAGCTGAGACAGGAAAATTGCTTGAACCTGGGAGGTGGAGGTTGCAGTGAGCTGAGATCACATCACTGCACTGCAGCCTAGGCAACAGAGCAAGACTCAGTCTCAAAAAAAAAAAAGTTTTAAAAATTCAATTATTCTATTCCCACTCACCAAATTGGTGAATTTTTGGAAATAGAAATCAGTAATCCCAAGGCTAGTCTAGTCAAGCCGTAAAGCCGCCATGTTGCAGTTGTACATTTTGCAGCTGGGCTCAGGCAACATCCTGAGTCTTGTTGACCAGTTTTCTCCACTCCCCACCTCCACATCATCACTTCAATTGACAGTCAAAAGAAGGGCAAGACTCCTGCCATTGCTCATGCTTTCCATGTAAACAATTTTCCCCTCATCCTGTTTTCCTTAAAACTTTGACCTAATTTCTTTCACATGCTGAGCTAATTCTCATGACGGTTTAAAGGTTGCTGAAAATATCATAAAGGTCTGCTAAAGTTCACAAACGAAGATGCCATTCATTCAAGCCCTGTGTTCTTGAGTCATCATTTCTTTAAATGCATGACATAAATACGTTTTTTTCTGTTCTATTGATAATTTTACATTAAGACATCATTAGAAAGCAGCATCTGGGCTGCTTTTCAAACCACACTAGCTGAACTCATTTTTTCCCCTTTACTAAAAAGGTGCTTAGTTCACATTTATGGATTTTCAATTAGCAGTAATAATAAAGAACAGTGTGTGGTGTTCAAAAGACTTAACTGGCTGCTTTCAAAGTAAATCTTTAAGTCCAATGATTAAGTTGTTTCTGATACTTAACAAAGGCATATATTTATGCTTCCAGAAATTTAGTGCATTTTGGGGTTCATTTTCCAATAATTTTGATTCTTGGACATTTCTCATATGGGAGCATTTGTTCTTAGAGAGGCTTCACCCAGCAGGCCCAGAGAAACAGGAGGTTGGGAAGACAACATAGATTTACTAAGTAGGAGGTGTACCTTGGTTTCTTTCTCCTTGTTTTCTTTCAGGTGTCATTTTGTTCATTTTACTTCTACCAACAGAGAAGTGCCAAGACTGATGCATTGGGCAGAGGAATTCAGGAACTGGGAAAATATCTAGAAATCTTTATTTGCTAACAGAAATCATCAACACAAAAATGATTTCCACAGACAGCTTAGAACAACTAATTTGAGGACTAAATATGTCAGCATTTGCAAAGTGCAAAACAGGCACGGGGATTGCTCAAGGCCTCCAATCTCTCTTCGTAATAGTCTTTCCTCCCCTGTGTCTAGCATTCTTGATTTCAGAGACATAGCAGTGCTTTTCCACTGTTTCAGGCAAAATCGGCTATCATTCACTCACAATTCAGTATGAATTAAGTCAATGTCATCACCTCTAGGAATTACCTTTATTTTGAACTTTAGTCCTAATTTAGGAAAAGTGATTTGTTTCCAAGATTAAAAAAAGTTTAGCTATTGATTCTAAGAAAAATGGACAGAAACTAGACAAGAAGAGAACCTTCCTGCAGTCACAGATCTATCTGCCTGACTTAAGGTCGGCACACATGAAAACACTCAAAGGTGTTTTCTGTGACTTTCACTTACTGTAGTTTCAGGTTAAATCATCAGAGCAAGTATTATTTTTCCTTCTCCTCATTATTCACCTTGTTGTTACTTTAATCTTTGTTCAGTTTGACAAATGAGAATGTAGACAGAGGGTTAAAGAGGAATGAGCTGAATTCCATCCATATTCAGGGCCTGTGCCGACGTCCTCCCTGGGTTTAATGCTCCATATGGTTTGGCACAGTGACATTACTTCTCCTGCTAAAATACCCCTTAGCCTGTGTGGCATCCATCAGTTTGCTTGTTGACTTAGTTTCATTTTCTGTTTTCATGGCCTGCTCAACTGCCTGCAAAAGCATTAAATTATTCTTCTGATCTTTCCATCTCCCTGGGTTCACAAACTGCAATTTATGGAAGTCTTTAAAACTTAAAGGGCTTTCTGATAAAGGTAGATGCCAATGAAATGATAAAGGTCAAAGAAAAACAGTACACTTTAAGGAGGCAACACCTTTCACAGAAATGCCATATTTTCATCATATTTCATATCCTAAGGAAATATTACAACCCATAGAGAAGTCAATATAGAAATTTTGAAATGGAAGGGGCTTCAGAGATTGTCCAGTCCAATCTCATTTTACAGCTGTGGGCACTGAGGCTTAGTGAGGGTCACTCACAGAGTTTTTCAGCGGTAGAATTGGAAGTTGTATGGGGCACTCCCAAGTCAATTCACTGCTATATTCACCACATTGTGCTGACTCTTAATTGCATATTCTTAATGATAAAATAATATGAGGAAAAGGGAATAGCAACCAAGAGAAAGAAATGGAACATTTTCTATTTTCTTTTTAGAACCAGAGTCTTGCTTTAGAGTAATTTGTCTAACAGTAAAATGACCATCTACCTGATGGTGAAAACCAAACCATGGCATCTGGTGGAGATGGCATGCTGTTTCCCCCTCTCCCTTACATCTATATCTATATAGTCCATGAGCCCTAGTATGGCTCTCTTGGTAGCATTTTTGTTGCCATCTTTTTCATTTATATTGCCACTCTTGTAGCTCAGAACATTATAAGCGTACACCTGGGCCTTTGGAGTTGAGTTTTTTAACTGCTAGCCTTTGGTTAGAGTACTTTTCTCCCCCTTTCAGTCCATAATGAAAAGAACCACAAAACTGATCTCCTGAAGTATCACCTTCAACATAATATTATCATCAGTGGAATTTCTAATTTCTACTTTTTCTGACTTGTTATTCTGCAATCTTGAGGCTATGGTTCCTTCACCCTTCACTGTTTGCCTTTTTTTTCTTTTTCTTTTTCAGTCCTATGTTTAGCCAGTCCAAATAATGTTTCTTTAGGGCATAGTAACTGTGGGAGTTTCATGGTATAGAGGAATGACTAGGGGCACCAGGGATTTTCACAAACTAAAGACACCTCCATTTTACTTCTGCACAAATTACTTTCTCTTATATTCATATTTCCCCAGTGAAAAAGGTGAAGCAGCACCACATCACTCACCGCTGTTTTCATTTTAGCCCTACTCTCTGGACACTGTCATGAGAATGAATTACCTGCACTTGCCACGGATTTGCTGCGGTGCTGACCAGGAATGCTCTTGGGAGTTTGCTCACTTTGGCCTGGATTATGACTTTTTCCTTTTGAAAAAAAATAAAAAGAACTCAATATATACTAGTAAAACAGCATGAACAATTTTTTCACAATTTAGTGAGCATCATTAATATCTTTGTAAAACTATGTTCAAGACTTTATCAAGCTGACCCACTTCAGAGAAAATGAAGCCAGGAAGCTGGACATAGTTCCAAAGACCAATTTTTGCCACTCACATTGTGAGCTATTTCTCAATATTTAGCCAATATATCTTAGTCTTCCTTCATAAATAATGTTTTGTGCTACATTAGTACCACAAAAACAGCATGCCCTACTTTTGTCTTAAATTGAAAATTATCTTCAAAGACCAGGCATTTTGACCCTTTGATGGAGTTTTCCCTCCTGTCTGAAATTAGTAGAAAGTACAATCAAACAAAACAATGAGTACAAAACATAGTTTTTAAATATATAAAAATCCATGTAAATATATAAAATGTTTTTATATTTATTACCAGCTGTTTTTTGTGGGAGATAGGGGACAGGGTCTCGCTCCGTCCTCCAGGCTAGAGTGCAGTGGTGTAATCACGGCTCACTATGCAGCCTTGACCTCCCGGGCTCAAGTGATCCTCCCACCTCAGCCTTCCCAGTTGCTGGGACTGCAGACATGTGCCACCACATCCAGCTGATTTTTAAATGTTCTGTAGAGATGGTTTCATTATGTTGCCCAGGCTAGTCTCAAACTTCTGGGCTCAAGCCATCCTCCTTTGTCAGCCTCCCAAAGTGCTAGGATAAAAGGAGTGAGCCACTGCGCTCAGCCAGCAGCTCTTTGATTCAGCATTTTTGAATGAGTTTGATATGCCACTTAGACCTTATGTAAGACACCACAAATTCGAAGAGGAGTAAGGCATAGTCCCTATCATCAAGGGTTTTATCATCCAGGAGAGACTGTCAGGTGAAGAATCCATTGTAATTAGATGAGACAAGTACAATGTGACTATATAATAAATTGTCATATAATATGTCATACAAGTATTGTCACAACAAATATGGGCTCCTAACCTACATATTTTTTGAGGCTTTAAAAATCTACAACATTTTACTCTAGAAAAGTTATGGAAAATAAACATTCTCCCACCTGTCAACTCAATCTGTTGATAGTAGCTCTCTGAAGAACTGGATGGAGAAGCATTTAAAGCTATTTTCAAGCTCAGCAAAAAAAAAAAAAAAAAAGTTGTTTGATTAATTACTGATGCCAGCCATTGGCCTACAAGTAGGAAGAAAGGGGCTTGCCACCTCTCATCTATAACATGCAACTACTACATCACACTTTCTCTACCCTATCACATGGTTACTTTCAACAAAATTTTCATCATTTACACTTCATTAAGCAACTCTTTTCTGGGGATTATGAAGTTAAGAATAGAAGTTTCCCTCATGGCTTTTTTTTTTTTTTTACTTTCTGAGAGATGAAATCGTCGGCAAGTCAAGTCAAGAATTTACTCAATTAACTTCTTTAGCTTAATGAGACTTTGAGCTGATATTTGCATCCAATCACGACTGTATTTGTCTTTTTGCCAGCATTGTGACTTGCATTAGAATTTCTTGCCCAGCAAATAAAATTAAAAATTTAATCTTAAAATAGGAATTTCAGAGCCCAAAAGCAATCAAAGAAATCACAAAAGGAAAATCCAAAAGACTTAACTACATAAATATTCAAAATGCATTTAAAAATGTCAAAATCACACACACAAAAAAAGAACAAACAACTTACAGGGCAAGGAAAAATATTTTCTAAAAATGTAACAGGTAAAGAATTGATATATTTAGCTGTGTATATAGAAAATAATCTACTAGGTTGAAGTACAAATTAGACATGCGTTAAGCCTACAGAACTAAACTAAAAGTTATGCCCTCACCACCATACAAATAAAAGTTCATTTAGTTTAAAGAGCCAGACCTATCTACAAGTGACTCTAGGAAAAACAGTGGAGAATCCCATCAGGCCTCAGTAATATCACCAGTTTCTGGGGCCCTGTTGTGCAGTAACACTATTGGCAACAGATCCTACACACTCTAATGTGTCCTTGTCCACTGCTTATCATCCCTGCACAACCTGTAATAATTTATTACTTATAAACACTTCCATAGCAACTACTATGTACCAGGCAATCTTCTAAGCACTTTACAAATATTAACTTATTCCTCATAACAACTCTGTGTGGTAGGTTATCATTACTAGTTCCATTTTACAGTTGAGAAAATTGAGGAACAGAGAGGTTAAGTAGTTTATCCAAAGTCACACAGCGATTAGGTTAGTGTGAATGTGATTGTAGATTTTACAATTAAAAGTAATGGCAAAACAGCAATTGCTTTTGCACCAACCTAATAGTAAGTGGGGTATCTGGAGTTGAATTCAGGCAGCCTGATTCCAGAGTCTGTGCTCTCAAACATTTTCTGGGAAGGACTAACTCACTCTCCTGAATCATCCTCTGTTAAAGAAGTACCACGCTTGGCCTCCCAAGGACACTTCTTGCTCTTCTATATGTTGTGTCTTGGTTTTATTTACCAACTACACTAAGCAGGAATTAAGAGCCAAAGCAGGACTACACAAATGATAAAAGGATGCTTAGGACTCTGTGGGACCAAGAGCTCATTCTCTGGAAAAAATAACAATAAAAAAGAAGAAAGTTCTGGTAATGTTGAAGAAAGGGGAAAAATGATAACCAAAATATTCATTAGGAACTAAGCTGTGTCCTCCCAAAATTCATATGTTGAAGCTCTAACTCCCAGCGCAGCTGTAATTTGGAGATAGGACCCTTCAAGAGGTAATTAAGATTAATTGAGGTTATAATGATGGGCTCTAATCCAATGGGATGGGTGTCCCTATCAGAGAAAGAGACACTAGAGATGCACGTGCACAGAGAAAAGGCCATGTGAGGATCCAACAAGAGCCCATATACGACCCAAGGAGAGAGGCCTCAGGAGAAACCAAAGCTGCCAACACCTTGATCTTGAACTTCTACCCTCTGAAACTGTGAGCAAATTCATTTCTGCTGTTTAAGCCACCCAGTGTGTGGTATTTTGTTATGGCAGCTCTAGCAGACTAATACAATATTAATGAGAAAATATGATTAACTTTCAATACGGAGCATATCAAGAAAATAATAATATAGATAACCCCATGCTAATAAATTTTAAAATTTTAATAAAAGCACAACTTTCTGGGAGTATGAAAAGTCATGTAAATCATCTCAATGCTAACGTAGCATCTATTCCTGGAAATCAGGAAAGCATCTGTTTCTGATACAATTTCTTGGTAAAGAATAAATTAAAATATATTTCCTTCATATGAAAAACAAATCTATCTGGAATCAACAGCCAGTATCGTACTCAGTGTAACTACAGCCTGTACGACAGGTCACGAGCTTGCTGTGGCCCAAGGGCTAGATATCACCTACAGATAGATTTGTTTTGGCTGGTTTGTTGTTTCATTTTTAATTTGCTCTAGTTGCCAGCATTTAAAAATCATGATATTTTATATAAACTTCCAGGGCTTTGTTTTCTCTTCCACATTAGGCCCACATGACAACTAACTGTAGCTGAGTAGGGGTATGCCAACGCAGACTGGCTCTGTACATTCTGGCCTGCCAGTTACCAGCACTCTACCTAATTCCCTCTGTGCAGACGCCAGGTGGCAGTGACTAGGTTTTATGACATTTGTATTGTTGTTTTCCTAACTTGGCCTGTGTCACTTTTTTGCCCCTTGCCAAGTTTTTCTCAGCATTTGTGTTCATATCACTTCTTTAAAGGCAGTCCCATTACAGCCAGGAATTACAGTGCCCAGTGCTATCATTATTATTCAACATTATTCTGAAAGTTTTAACCAAGACATGAAAACAAAATCAAAGGCATAAATCTTGAAAGGGGAAGACACATTTGTAATCATTTGGAAGTTATATAATCATATATCTGTTTAACCCGATTCAAATACCATTAGAAATAATAATTTCAGCAAAATGGTATATTATAAAATAAATAATACATGTATCAATAGCTTTCCTATTTAATACTAATAATCAGAGACTAGCATGAGTTTTTAAGAATCTCATTTATAATGATAAAACACTTGTTATACAATAATTAACCCAATGAAAATGTTTTTTACCTACATGAATAAAACTATGAAACTTTAAGTCCAGGAATTATCCTAGCATATGTAAGAATTTAGCACATGACAATAATGGCATTTTGAACCAAGGGAAGAAAGGTTGGATTATTCCATAAATCATGCTAGGATAATGAGTTAAATCTAACCGCAAAAAAACAGAGTTAAATTTCTAGCTACAATTCATGCACATAAATGTATTAAAAGAGTACTCTGTGGAAATCAAAAGCCATACTGATTGAAGAAGAAAATAAAAGTAAATGTTATATTTGTTTTCATAGAATAACCTTCCAGCAATGTGAAAATATGGAAATAATAAAAAGTTTGATAGGTTCGGACACTAAAAATTTAAATATTCTATACATTAAAAAATTAAGTAAATTACAAGATGAAGGACAAACTAAAAACAAAATTTAAATGATATGATAGTTGAAAGGTATATAATTTATTACATCAAGAGTATCTATAAAATAATAATTAAAGGGAAATACATCAAAAATAAAAGCATGAATAAGAATTTATAATAAAAGGAAGAGAAATGGCAAATAGTATATTTTTATACATGCAACTTCACTGGAATACAACAAAAAGCAGTTATATCAAAATTTATGTTAAATCAATATTAAGTATTTATTTTATTATGACTATAAAGTATCCTTTATTCCAGAACCATCTAGTATTTTCTATTATTTCTTTCTTGCACAAATTTCTATTTTTCTTTAACTTAGTAATTGCTTATTAATATGTTTGGTCTCTTGGATGGATCCTAATTACCTAGTCTCTTCTGCTTTCCATCTTGTATGTTTTTCTTCTTTTTCTATTCTTAATTTCAACTTGCAATACTTTTACTGAATTTGTTGTTTTGGCTATACCAGATATTAATTCCTAGAGTTATTTCTTATTCTGTCAATGTTTTTCTTTATCATCTCTTATTGCCTTATCATGTACTATCTTCTCTCATCTCTTGGACAATAATATTGGTAGTTTTTCTTTTATGCTTAATTCTGCTGCCTGTATTGTTTCCATATTCCTGAATTCCTTTTTCTGTTTGCTATTTTAGTCTCTGGCTTTCATGTTAGTGGCTTTTCTCACATGTCCTCAGATCCTTGTCTGTCTGTGTATATTGTCTAAATAACTGAAAAACTGATTGGACACTCTGGGGCATGGCGGAGCCTATTGTATGGTAGTTAGTGATTTAGAAATTTGCTATTTTGTTAGGGCTTTCTGAATGGCCAGTGGAGGCCTTTCTTCTAGGATAATTAAATTTCTCCAGAAGGTAATCATCCAATCACCCGCCTAGTTTCCAGTGTTCTGGGAGCCAAGGGAGAAGGTCAAAAGTCACTGAGAAGATTTTCCCAGCAGGTCTCCTTGGTTTCCTTACAGAACCTTGCCCCCACTTGCTCAGGGTCTGGATCCAGAGCCTCTCTACTTCAGTCCCTCCAGAGAGTAATTATTCGTGTCTTCTGGCTCCTGGAGATGAGAATTGAGTGTCTATAATGGATCTTCAGGAGGTAATCTGGGGTTCTCATGGCTCCTTATACAGACTTTCAACTAACACTTGTGTTTTCAACCTCTTTATGCACTCTCTTCTCCAGAGGCTTTCAATTGTTCTGTGGATAGACTGGTTGCCTCCTCTCTGGGCTCGGCTTTTATCTTCTGCTTTGCCAAGTCATTCCCATTTAACCATCAGCTTCTTAGCTTTTGGGGCTTTGTTAGCCTCTCTCATTTGTTTTTCTTTCTTGTGAATTTATTCCTTTCTTGTGAATTTTAATGAAACTATACCTTTTTTATATTATATTCATTTTACTAGCAGTTGAAGAGGTTGCTGAGATAAACCCTTGGGTTCTATTTGACATATTTAACCAGAAGTCACAGTTACAACAAGAAAAGGACAGTTATAATAAAAATATCATAAGACAATCATAGCTACTTATGGCTGAAAGGGAGCTTAAACACCAATTATTTTCAAATTCTTTACATAAATATGGGAAAATAAAGCATAGAGAATGTTAATAAATTACCAGAGATATTCAGGTTATTTGAAGCAAAGTCAGGACTCTCTTATGCACCCTACCAGATGCCTTTTGGTTGTTTCTCAAAGAACTGCCATCCATTGGGAAGTGCCTTCATCTACAACATGTAGTATTATGCCCTTGACATCTATGTTTCTTCTCCATCAGTCCGATCCCTTGGTCATAGCAGATTGGATGAAGGTAGTGTACCAGATCTAATCTGGGCAAAAATTGTCTCCCATAGAAATTTTGAATTAGGAGGGACCCCAAGGTGCTACCTACTCCAAGATGATATTTTGAAAAAGGACCAGAAAGTACAGGCATAGATGGCCATCCACTTTCTATATGAACACAAAGTGAGATTATTGTATTAACCTTGCACGTAACCTTGCACAAAGACAACGAAAGTGTGTGTATGTGTGTTTGTGTGCATGTGCGCACATGTGTGCATGAACACATGCACGCATATCATCCTCCACCATACACCCTTTAGACTGGGTTCATTGTCCTTAAATAGCAAGCTTACTGCTTCCACGTTGCTTTTCTTAGATCTCTAATGACAAACAGCTTCAATATTGGTAGAGACAATAGATGAAATCCGTGTTTCCCGGAGTGGACTTGGTCTTCAATTGCAACTTAACCTGCCCTCAAAGCCTGGGTTATCTTAGGATAACACTTCAACTTTTATGCTTCTCTGGCTTTAAATAATTGCTGAAGGACAGAAAGTCTACCAAGGAAAGTTGGCAGGACTGAGTAAAGAGAGAAAGAGAGAGGAGAGGGGAGGGGAGAGGAAAACAGAGAAGAGGGTGCCCTCTCATGTAGGAATGTATGTAAAAATATGGAAACAAGCTACCAATGTGCCTGTGTAATTGTGTTTTGAAAATGATTGATGAGGATATATCTATGACATGCACTTTTTAAAGGAAAGAAACAACAAAAACATAAAATACCCAGTGCAGCTGACCCCTGCTGCTTTCCTTTCTGCATCTCTTTCTGAGGTGGATATATGGCTTCAGTTTCTTTCAAGTGTCAGCTGGAGACTGCTGGGGCTTTCTGTAACTCTCCAGGCCTCTTTGCCTTCTAGGAGCATTAAAAACTTTCCCAGTGACTTAAAGAAACCACACACATGCACGTACTCGAAGTGTATCCCTAGAGTGGTTCTACTGTGTTGGTTCTTTCTCTCATCTTTGGGAGCCTGTTGTTTTCATCTCCTGACAGACTCCTGGGGATGTGGTTGAAGAGAGGAGGTTGTGACAGAAGTAGAGAAGGTTTCTGATTAGTGAGAGCAACGGAAGACAGAAGAAGTTTCCAAAGCCTGACTTAATGATTGCCTCTCGAAAAGTGGGTGCTCCCTGCTTCCTCTGCTTTTGTCCCTTAAGTGGCTAAATTGCAGGTGGTGCTGTCCTGACAAAAGATCTAGATCACATTCTCATGACTTCACACAGAAAAAGTATAAACCAAGAAAAAAAGTCAGGCAGTCAAACTCACAGAAATTAAGCAGGAGAATAAAATAGATGTAATATATCCATTTCAGACCTTTCTGGTTATCACAACAAAAATAACGAATATTTATAACCACATATGACCAGACACTGTCAAGGACATTTTCAAATACATGATCTCAGTTTCACTTACTTCTGTGAAAGACATCCTTGCACCTGCCCTCACTCCCAAGCAGAATTGACCTGTCCCTCCCTTGTCCACCCACTGTACCATGCATATTGATTTATCATAGAGTCACAGAACACTGTGCTGCATTTATTTGTGTGTGTGTGTGTGTGTGTGTGTATATATATATATATATATATATATATATATATATATGTATATATGTCACTACCACCCCAGTAGACCATGAGCCTCTTAAGACAAATGGAAATTTCTTATTTGTTCTTGAAATATTAACACACAGTACGGACTGGCACAGTCCAAGCACGTAATATTGAACAAATAACTGATTTTAGCATAGAGAAACAATTTAATTTTAGGCAAGGTTTTCCAGCTCAACCCCCAAAAATATTCCCAGCCCATTATATGGAAGAAACAATAATTCCCACCCAACTCATGGAGCAGACAGAGCACCAGTCAATCTACCACAAGACCAGGTGCCAAACAGAGAGGAAACAGATCAGACTTGAGTTCTGACTCTGCCATTTTAAGTTCGTGGCCATCAGAAAGTTTCTTAATGCCTTGAGCCTCCATTTGCTTATCTGTAAAATGGGGTAAAGTATCTTGAAGGATAAAAGTAGTTACATAAAACAGTAAAATCCCTTATATGTTACCCAGCTCACAGCAGAAGGCCAGTAAGTCTCAGATCCTCTATAAGCAGGAATCTTCTCCACCAAGAAATTCTGGATGGGGATTGGGGTGGGGAGCAGATTCCTAACTAATCCCTGTCCTTTAAAAAAAACATTTAAAATAGTTTTGTGCTAGACTATTTAAAATAAAAAATGCCTTCTGGTATGCTAACTTGTACTTTGTAATTTGGAGTAAGAGACCAGATTTTTGCTATTTGAGAATAAATTTTATGTTGAGACTACGACTTTTTTAAAGAAGGAATTTCTACAATTCAGAAACTTGAACAAACCAAGGACTTCATAAATATATACTGAATGACTGAATAAATACAGGAATCAATCAATCAATCAATCAATGTGGCTAATGATGTTTCCTGAAGAGCAGAGAAGAATATTTTTCCCCAGGAAAATATAAAAGCTCCCCTGTAAACGTTCCAACTAAAGCTATTGTTAGAAAGTAGAAAAGTTGAGGCAGCCACTCAAAACGGTTTATTTTCCAGTTTATATTTATGATTCTGGTTTATTATGTTTATGGTCTAGACCTCAGTCAAGGAACTTGAATTGCATTTGGAATTTTTACTCCATGAGATATTTTGTTCATTTGTGGGTCACCTGCTTATGATTCCATCTACCTCACAGAAGCCAGCATCCATTTGTCTGGCTCCAACAGCTACATTGCCCTAGCTTAACAGTCAAGAGACATGACTCTGACACTTGCCAGTTTTGCAAAACTGTGCATTTTATGAACTTATTAGACTTTTTGTAGTCTTACTTTTAAAAAGAGATGGTTAAAACTGATTATTCACATCTATTCTGGTTATAAAATTAGAAGATTATTCCATAAAGTGGCTATCCTTCGGGAGGCTAAAATATTAGGAAACTCAGAGGCACTGAGCAGAACTCTCGCACTCACTCTATCCTATGCGAAAGCACCCTCCGTCATCTTTGGAGGCATAGCAGATGGCTGTAGTGCAACCCTTCCCTGTAGCTTGCCATGGGCTCCCAGTCTCCAGGCTCAGGTTTTGTGAGCCCAGGAACCCTTTGCTTGGTTTCTTGCACTTCCTTTCACCCCGCCTCTTCTTTAGATTCTTCTCCAATTTTTTTTTGTTCTCTCCTATACCAGTTCTGTGAATTTAAAAAACTGCTTCAACAATTTCCTCTGCTCTTAAAGGTCTGTATCCCCATCCTGAAGGTCTCTGTCCTTGTACATCCAGTTTTAAATAGTGATATTTATACTGTCCCTGGATTTTTTTTTTTTTTTTTTCTGAACTGCTGACCGAAACAAAAATAGGCAAGAGCTCCAGCCAGGACTGAGTAATGAATGCAGGATTAACAACAATTAGTCCTGAATATAGATGTATTCTAGAGTGTGCATGGAAGCTGCATGCCATGTTGGGGGAAAGTGTCGTCTGTGGTAGGGAAACATTTTGAACTCTCAGCAGGGAGACACCCCTGTAGATCCAGTGCTAAAGGAGGGAATCGCCAATGATAAAAACAAATCTTCAAAACATGGGGCAATGAGAAAGTCTTTAGCTGGTCTGTGACAGGAAGCACAGATGTCTAAATCTACAAACATTCTACCCTTAGGGGGCAAATATTAGTAAAAAAGAGTTCTCCTTGTCTCTAAAACAAATCCAGGTTTCTAGAAAATGTTGGTGATTTGGTTTAGAAGACAAGGATGTTGTTGGAGATGAAAAGATATTTTAATTTTTCTCTTTCTCTGAAATTAGGTCAAGTAAATTCTTAGATGCATGCTTTCTAGAATGTCTCCATGTTTTAAAAACTCTATCTTCAGTACATATTATTTTTATTTTAACTTTATCCTGGAATGAGAGAATATGTCGGAAGGTGCTTCACCTCCTAACACAACGTCTGGCAAGCGCTTCAAAATGCCAGTTCAATTAGGTGTTTGATGAAAGCAGGAAAGTTGACTTGTTTAACTTACCAGAAAATAAATAGAAAAGAAAAAAGAAGCTCTATACATATAAAATTGTACAAGCCCTCCCAATCTGACAAGCCTGTATAAAAGCCTTCTGACCGAAGAGGGACCTTTCCCTTAAAAAGAATGAAACAATAATTTGGGTAGAGTCTGGAGAAGGCTAAAGGGCAATTCCATTTCTCATGGTCACTTGAGAGGCAGGGAATTAGTCCAGCTAGGGTGATGCCACCACCACCACCACAGTGCTGGGCAAGTGTAACAAATAGTAGGGACACTGCTTGTCATTTTAGTTAATAATTATAAGGCATACAATTTGTTTCACTATAAAGTCCACCCAGTGGAAACAAGTTTTCCTCCACCTTGTGCAGTGCAGAGTGTCAAAGTCTCATTATTCCTGCTCAATCAGCTTCGGCCGATGTGTAAATATTGAAGCAAGTCTGAGGAGCCAAGGAAGGGAATGATTATTACGACATTAATACTAATGAGCGAAATGGAATCGGGGATGTGTTTAGCTAATGTTGCCACAGAAGGAGGTGACTTAAAAAGGAAAAAGAAATCAACAGGATGGTTATTGATTTTAAAAAGATGATCAAGACATAAAATCCACATGAGGAAGGAATCAAAGAAAGATTATGGCTCTAGGAACTCTCTCTCTCTCTCTCTGTGTGTGTGTGTGTGTGTGTGTGTGTGTGTGTGTACATGTACACGTGTGTACCAATTTAATATTTAGTTTATTCAAAAGTCTCTGTGTGGACTGAAGCAGGCTACTACATGCCAATAAGAACAGTCCACACACAGCTTTCTTGTTTCTCCTCCTTGCTGGTAGCTTTTCTTGGTACCTTTAATATCTGTTTATGTACCCACAGCAAATACAGACTCTTATCGGCTCATCCCCTTGTCTTCTATTGTAGAGATGTCAAAAGATCGAGACAGTCTGTGAGGGTGGAGAACATAGGAGACAATATAATGACAGTTATGTGAACTTATGAAAGTCATTTTTCCTTTACACCTCATTAAATGTTGTAACACCATCCTTATCAAATCCATCCGAACCTCAAACAAAAGCCATTTATACAGGAATGGACAGGGTGCTTATTTATTTTAAGGGGTCTGCCACATATTTATTGGCTGCAATAACTCTTTACATCCCTCATTTTGGAATGCTTGCACTTCAAAAGAAATTAAATTTCTTGTAACAGTAAAGGAGGTTTAGAAATAGGCTATTCTCTAAATGTTTGTTTTTAAAAATAAAAATAACCCTCAGGTTCTGCCCAAACTTTAGGGAGGCTCTGCCAGCAGCTTTTCATTTTCTTCCACAGAGCACTGTGGACGGCTCATGGAGCCCGGCACAGAGATCTGCTGCTGCTAGTGTTCAAAGCCTGTCAGCTGTCAGCATCCCCAAAGGGTCTACATGCCTGAAGTAAGCAGAGACAGCGCTTTATCTAGGCAGAAACTCACCCGGTGCTTCTCTCAGCAGACACAGGGAGGCAGTGCGGGAAAGCTTGGCTTCAGCCAGGCAGGAGGGGAGGAGAGGTGCCCCAGAGTTTATCTTTTCCACTGGTTTACTTTTTACAGAGTTACTTTTAGCACTGGTAAAGTCCTGAAGTCCCCAATTGCTTGCTTAACTTTTATACAACTAAGAATTTTTAATGAAAATCATCAGGTTACCTGACCAATGAAACAAACCCCTTCCAAAAACTTTACTTTTTTAAATGATAATGTGTATGTGTGATCAGAGAAAAGAATACTATATAATAACTTTAAAAAGTGACAATTATTTATTTAAAGCAGAATACATGATATATCAAATATCCAGCACCCATCACCTGTCAAAGGCACATATCCAGAGTTTCCGTGCCAATCCTGCTTTCCTAAAAGGATTTACGATGCACATTGAAATACATTATTTCACCAAATTCCTCTACTAGTTCTTGAGATCACAATAGTCATGGAATTGTTTCCATTTCATGAGGAACTGAGGTTGGAGAGTTTGCATGGTTCGAGAAGATCACATGGCCAGTAAGCCATAAGTCAGGATTTCAACCTAAGTCATCTGACTCCATGTCAAGGGTCATTCACTTTACCCCAGTCAGATTTACACAGAAATCAGAAATCAGTGATTTCCCAGGCTGCTTCTCACAGTATTCTTAAAGGAGAGTGAATTAGGGGGTATCCTCTTTCCTTTGACCAATGTAGAAAACAGGTCATAAAGCTTGAAATCTCATCATCATAAACCTTTCTCCAAGTATAATCCCCAATCTCATAGTCAATGTATTCAAACTGAACTCCCCTTATCAGTTTTTCTGCCTGAAGTATTATATGAAACCAATTTTTTGCTCTTATTCTCCATTCTGTTACTATCACTCTCACATGTATCTTTTTCTCCCCTCCTTACACCTTGAACCTGTTGATGAGTTTTCAAAACATGTGGATATCTCTTCTGCAGCACCTTCCTCATCTTCCTTCTTCTTCATGCACACTATGGTCAGGTCACATAGATATTATTTGTCTCTTTCTTAGAATTGGGAGTTTCCAAACTAATGCCCTTACTTCCATTTCTTCCCTCTTCTAATCTATCCTACATGACACTTCTAGATTAACCATTCTTAGGAGTGCTCTAATTAAACCACTGACCACCTCCAAAGCCTTCAAGATCTTCCCTTGGCTTATTCAAACAATGTAAGAACTCTTAATCCACAAACATGGCACAATCTGACTTAACCTCATTTCCAAACATATTCCCTCATTTATCCCTCATGAAGGTTCTGCCCCTTCTAGCTGCTTCTTTATGTATATATTATACTTTAAGTTCTAGGGTACATGTGAGCTGTCCACTTGCACGTGTACAGCGACTGCCCTTTTCCACCCTGCCAGCACCTCCGAATTCTATACTCACCAAAGTCTAAGTCGAACACTGGGTTTTTCATGAAATCTCCCCAGGTTCACCCAGAGAGGTAATTTTTCTCTTAAAATTCCTATTCACAATCCAATGCAAATTCTCTTTTTTTTTTTTTTTTTTTTTTTTTGGAGACAGAGTCTCACTCTGTTGGCCAGGCTGGAGTGCAGTGGCATGATCTTGGCTCTCTGCAACCTCTGCCTCCCAGGCTCAAGCAATTCTCCTGCCTCAGCCTCCCGAGTAGCTGGGATTACAGGGGTGTGCCACCACGCCCGGCTAATTTTTGTATTTTTAGTAGAGACGGGGTTTCACCCTGTTGGCCAGGCTGGTCTTGAACTCCTGACCTCAGGTAATCCACCTGCCTCAGCCTCCCAAAGTGCTGGGATTACAGCATGAGCCACCGTGCCCAGCCACAAATTCTTTTAAAAATAAGGTTGAGTATAAATAGTACATATATTTTTAAAACTCTCAGGACACTTCTCTTATCCACCATCTCTTGAAATTATAGTTACTGGTATACAAGTTAATCTTCTTTCCCATGGCAAAAGTGCATAAAGGCAAGAGCCAGGTCTCATCTTTGAATTCACAACAGCCCCAGAACTGCTTTCAGATATTTTGTGCTAAGTAAGTAACTGGATTAAGGGAGAAAGGGTTGTGATTGAGCCAAGATGAAACTTCCATTTATCTTTCCTATGCACTAGACATATATGTAACATATTTAGTTAGATGTTCCATCACTCAATAAATCATTTTGTAAAATATTTACTGAGCCCATAATATCTGTCAGCATTGTACTGGGTGCTATGGTAAACAAAAAAAGGCACAGTTCAAAGTACTAGGGAAGATAGATAATGAAAAAATTGTAACTTTTTTCAAATAGTGAAGAGACCAGAAAAACATGCAAAGTGAGTGAAGCAATTGAGGAAGGGCTATGAAAAAAACCCTACTCAGGTACAGGGGTTCAAGGAAACTTTCTTAGAGGATAAACAAGACTGAAAGGGTGAGAGGAAGCCAGCCATGCAAAGACCGGGAGGAAGTTCATTCCAGACAGAAGAAACCGCAGGAGTATTCGCTGAGAAGTGAGGAAAAGTGTGGCGTTTTCTAGGAACTGAAGGAAGACAAACACAGCTGGGTTATAATGAATGAATGGAAGGGTAGACCAAAATTGAAGAGGCAGACAAGAACAAGGTCATATGGATCTTGTAGACCCTGGTGAGGAAGTCGATTTTCTTTGAAGTCTGTGGGAAGCTATTACACAGTTTAAACGGTAGAATATCATGATCTATTTGTGGTTTCAGATCATTCTGGCCACTGTGAAGAGAACAGATTTTAACAGACAAGAGTTAAGGCAGAGAAACTGGTAAGGGCACTATTGCAGAGGTCCAAGCAGAAATGATGTGGCAGACTTTTGCACAGCAGCAGCACAGGGCAGCAAAAACACGGATTGTTAAATAGGAGGTGTGAGGGAGAGAAAAGACCCAAGGACAGTGCCCAGGTTTCTGGCTTAGCCATTGAGTAATCAGTGTTACCATTTACTAAGACAAGAAAGACTGAAAGAATAAGTTTGAAAGGAAATAATTAGCTCAAATTCTAAAGCCACCTTAAATTATAATTACTCATATGGTGAATATGTGATACATGTTTATGAACACCTACTGTGTGCCAGACACTGCATTAGATGCCAGAGTAAATAAGACAAGGTACCTGCCTTTATAGCCCATGCCATCTGGTGACAAATACCTATATCATTTAAAAGTTTTTAAAGTTAGGTGGTATACAGGATTGTGTACAGACATTCAGATTCTGCTGTTGGGAATTTTATAGAATAAAATGTCACACTACCTTTTAAGATCCTTTTCCTTGATGCTTTGCTCATGTTTGAGAGAATAAAATTAACTTACCATTTTGCAAATGAATCCTAGAAATTTGTGGACATAGAAGTCCAAACCAAACACATAGTAAATTTTGGGAACAGCTCCTCATAATTTGCTTTTAAAAATATGATATCAAATTTTCCCTAACCTAAGCCCTAAGTATTCTTCATAGACAAGCATGGTTGGAGCGTAGTCTGAAGTTGCCTATCCCAATCTCTGCTTTCATGGCTAGGCTACTCACAACAGGCACTTTGTGTTTTTAAAGTGACTGCTTTAAAAAGAGAGAGAGAAAAAGAGAGAGGTTGCACAATGTTATTCTACAACCTTATCAAGAAGAGTGTCAGACCAAAAAAAAAAAAAAAAGTCAAGTTGGGAAACTACTTAAAATTATCATTACATCCTGCTTTTCAGTCTGACCAGAACTTATATCCTGAAAATTTTCTCTGTATACATCATAGTTTATGATAAAATCATTCAAAGAATAACCCACATAAGGCTAAAAGAAAATATTGCTTCTCATATTACCTCTTTTTAACATTTTACCTAATCTTCCCCAGCATTTGCAATATATTATATAACAAAATACATTACACATTCATTAACTGACCATGTGTGGAGAACTCAGACTCTGAACCCAAGTTAATAAAATACTCATAAATTAAAATTTGGCCACAGGATCAACAGACAATTTATTGATAGCTCTCTTGAAATTCCTGCTTAGCCAGCTCAAAGTGTCATATTGTTAATGTGATGATAGTTTGCTTTATGCTTTGTAACATTTGTCCACATCAAAGGATTCTTTTTTCCTTTAACATGTCCAGAATTAGCTTCATCAATTTTCTAAAATATAGTTTACATAAAGTCACACTCTAATAGGCATCCTCCTAAAGCTGAAAGTCCTGTTTTCCTCAGAAAATGTCATTCTGATGCTTGTCCTGGCTTATTCTCCAGCTGTATTGCGGCCAGCCAAGACGCTCTGACCATATGCACTGACTAAATCACTATACTTCTTCTCTGGTAACATCAAATATATACAGCAGTCATCTGTCTTCCTTTGATCTTCAGCTAGCACAAGCCCTTTCTCACTAAGTTGTCCTCCATGGTTTGTTTTTGATAGTTAAACAGTTTGGACATCTCTAAAAGTGGAGTGACATTGACACAGAGATAAGGTGCCAATCAATTTATTAAGTGATTTCATACAAAAATGGCAAACTTAACATGACCCTAAAGCATGGCTGATTGGGCCAACAAGAAGCGTGAAGAAAGCCATTCATCTGTTCTTGTCTATTCTGGCCAAGGACATCTATGGAGCTCTTCTCTGAAGCCGGAGCTAATAAAACTCAACAGAAATAATGTTTTTATTCATTTTTAAATTCTTAATTAATAGACATAAGTATTATTCCTTATTTCTATACTTTTTTATTTAGTTAAATGATGGGTGCAGGGTAGGTAGATCGTTAGGACATGTTTCATTGTCATTACAAGGGATATTTCATTCTACTAAGATGAGATTTCAGTGTTTTGCAAGCCATCAAAATTACCAAGCTTATTACAATTACATTAAAGAATTTTCAAAGAGGAAGAAGTGAGGTATAAAAGGTAAATGCGTTCATTTATTTCACTCCAGTACATCCTGACAGTAGCCTGGAGATAAACTCATCCCAAGAGTGCTAAATGTTTTCAGGATTTTTGTGTTTCAAAGCAAAATATACAATGTCTATGGAAATAGGAGCTTTGATTACCTTTATTCCTTATTCCATGTGAATGCCAAAACAATAGGTTACTTTGAAATAAAATAACAAAACAATGACCTTTAGATATCATTATTCCTAATAAAATAGCTAACTCGTAGAATGAATTGGCCTGACTGTCTCACAAGACCAATTTTTTCATAAAGTAGACTCAATAGCCCCGTATTGAAGGACGAAAGAGCAAATGTAATTTAAAGCAGTCGCCTGTCAGCCAGACACAGCAAAAAGACTGCAAAGCGATAGTTTAGAGAGAATGCCACTGTCATGGTTAATTTTATGTCAACTTAACTGGGCTAAGAGATGCCTAGGTAGCTGGTAAAACATCGCTGGGTGTGTGTGAGAGGGTATTTCTGGAAGAGATTAGCATTTGAATCAATACTGAAGAGTAAAGAAGATTGCCCTCACCAGAACAAGTGGGCATCATCCCATCCATTGAGGGGCAGAATAGAACAAAACTGCTCTCTGCTTGAGCTGGGATATCCATTGTCTCCTGCCGTTGGACATCAATGCTTCTGGTTCTCAAACCTTAGGACCTGAACAGGGACTTATACCATTGGCTCCCCTGGTTCTCAAGCCTTCAGCCTTGTACTGGATTACACCATTGGCTTTCCTGGGCCTCCAGCTTGCAGATGGCACCTCCAAAATTGCGTGAGCCAATCCCTCATAGTAAATCTTTTTCTATATATCTATATCTATGCTATTGGTTCTGTTTCTCTGGAGAAAGCTGACTAGTGGCCACATTCAAGAGATGGATGAGAAAGAAAAATTACTAAACACAAGGAATGATCAGAAAAATAGTTGGAGAACATATGTAATAAAAGTCAGTTGGAGTGGGAACTACGAGACAGTAGGGCTCAAGCAATGAGAAAACAATTCAATAATTAATAACCTCTATGTCCACAGAATATGAACTATTCTGGTTTCCAAGAAGGGAGATATTTCAGCCTTGAAAACACACTGTTAACCCTCTGCCAAACTGCACATAACCCTCTGTGATGAGCTAAGTTTTGTTCCCCTCAAAAGATAGCTTTCAGTGCTAACCGCCAGTACTTCAGAATGTGACCTTATTTGGAAATAGAGTCTTTATGGTGATAATTAAGTTAAAAATGAGGTCATTAGGATGGGCACTAATTGAATATGACTGGTGCCCTTATAAGACAGAGACATCTAGACACAGGTAAAACAATGTGAGGACACGCAGGGAGAAGGCTGTCATCTACAAGCCAAGAAACGTCAAGGATCACCAGCAAACACCAGAAGCTAAAAGAGGTAAGCAAGGACTGTCCCCAGAAGCTGTCAGATAGCAAGGCCCTGCCAACACTTTAATTTCAGACATCCAGTTGATAAAGTTCTGTTGTTTTAAGCCACTCAGTTTTTGATATTTTGTAACACCAGCCCTAGGAAACTAATACTCTCATCCTGAAGTGTGCCATATAAACCACCATTTGAAACCCACCAATGCTGATCCCCAGGCAGGAAGATTTATAGTCCAGAAAGATATCTTTGTATTAAGCCTCCCAAGGCCTGGTTCTGATAGGGACAGCTTTCTTGCAGAGTGCCTACAGAACATCTTCTAGCCATCCCAAGTCAGATGTTTTTCCCCACCGGTCTTGTCCACCTACAAGTGAATGAATGGTCTAGAAATAAGGAGTGGGTGGGCAGTGGGTGTGTGCACTGTGAGAAGGGAGGAGATAATCAGGGGTGTGAGGTCAGGATCAGGAAGTTTGAATTGTTCACCACTCATGTCACAGAATCATTACTTCCACAAATGTTTGCTAAGTATTTCTATTTGTGAGTCATTGTGCTAGATGCTTCAGATCATAGCTGTGAACAAGACAAAGAAACTATACTCATGGAAGTCATGTTCTAGCCTAATCTCACACAATCACATACAAATAAATCTTTGCTAAACAAGCCAATCAAGAATTTAATCCTGCTTACACTGAAACTTTGAAAGAGCTGGATTCCATACATGATTTGGAACAATTTGAACAGCTTTTTAGTTCATATTCATCTTCTATATGTTCTTTTGTCCAAATAAGTTACATTACAGTTTCTCAAAGTCTGACTTGAAAGGATAAACCACCCCACCTTCCCCCAAGAAGTCTGTGTGTATGTGTGTGTGTGTGTGTGTGTGTGTGCATGTATGTTTGAGAGAGAGAGAGAGAGATGGCAGGGATAGGCCTAGAGACATAAATTGTGCTGCTAATACCAATATGTGCAGCTGGCATTTCTATTGTCTTGTCTCTTATGACAGTGCCCTCCTCTGGAAGCTGTTAGGATAAGAGCTAATGTGGGCTGTGCCACACAAAGGTGATGGCAAATTGATGAGCCTGTAAAGAGATTCAGAGGCAAATAGGGAAATGCATTGTTAATGCTATTAAATATTACTTAGCCTACAGCAAGCTGCATGTTCAACAGTTTAAACTTTAATTGCTAGCTGATGCAGAAACAAGCCTGGATATATGTAAATCCTATTGAAAGCTAATATCATTTTGGCTGCTTAGATGGATTAGCAGCCACTACAATTAGCAGCATGTGCAACTAATGATATTAGGGGAGAATCCATCATGCAGTGGTCTAGGCCTTTAAATCTGAAAAGAAGTTAAGGCTCTTTTCCCCACAGAAACCCCACACTGGGGAGTCTTGCCAATTGATGCAGCAGACTCTAGAGTGAGCCAAGAAGCTTATAGAATGCAGGAGCCTGACTCCACTATCACCTTGAATTGTTCTTCTTTTTGCCCTCTACCGGCAATTCTAGCTAAGCACATTACGACCAACACTGCCTCCTCCCAACTCTCCAGGGAGTGACAGTGGATCACAGAGTAGAGGCAAAAAGATCCATCTTCAGCGATTGAACCCTTGTGGTTCACTCTGGCTACTGTGGTTGTGATCGAAGGAGAAAAGACAAGGCTTTTTCTCAAATGTGGCACCACTGGAATCAGGTTGTTGTACAGATTACTTACTACAATGTTCGTGACTACATAAAAGGGCCCCTAGGAAAATAATTCTCATTGAAAACTTCACTGCTTTTAGATAGTCTGTGAAAACTGTCATGTTTTGAGTAAAATGTCTCTATCTGTTCCATAAAAATAAGCATTTTTGATGCCTTTGAAGTCACCAACGATAAGGTGCAATGGAGCGTATGTGGTGAGGTGTGATTCCACATCCTTGGCTGGTTAGCAACCCTTTCATTTCTAAAAATTTTAACTCTGGGAAATGTTAAATCACAGTAGTTGAAGGAAAGATTGGCCTTTATTAGTAAAATTTCTAATATATGGAAGATTGTAGTTTCACTAATCTGATTGTAAAAAGCTACTATATTTATAATTTTGCAGTACATATTACAATTAAGCTAAAACGGCTACTTATGAATAATTGTAGATAATCTAATTTTGAAAAACAAGCTTTCATCATCAAAACTCTGTGCATATAAGGAACCATTAATATCTTGATCTGTGAGACAACTTATTTTACACTGATTCATCAATGAGTATAAACCCTAATTTTTATCAAAAACCACGCAGACCCACAAATTCTGACTTATTAGTATTAATTAGTAAAGTCTTGCCTTATTAATACCACATAAACAGTAATTATTAGTCTTTGGGAAGTTCTAGTAAACTGAACTGTTTTAGAAGATATAGGCTTAAGACGCCTGTAATCCCAGCACTTTGGGAGGCCAAGGCGGGCAGATCATGAGGTCAGGAGATCGAGACCATCCTGGCTAACACAGTGAAACCCTGTCTCTACTAAAAATACAAAAAATTAGCCAGGCGTAGTGGTGGGCACCTGTAGTCCCAGCTGCCTGGGAGACTGAAACAGAAGAATTGTGAGAACCCGGGAGGCGAAACTTACAGTGAGCCAAGATCGTGCCAATGCACTCCAGCCTGGGTGACATAGCGAGACTCCGTCTCAAAAAAAAAAAAAAAAAAAAAGATACAGGCTCAAGAGTTGTATACATAATTACAGTTTTATGAAAACATTTTTTGTAGCTTGTGTGCCCTTGTCGCCAAGATGGTAGAATGTGATAAGCTATAAATATATTTTATGCAAGAAATTTATACTACAAGATACAATAAATAAAGGTGTAAGGAAGCAAGGACTAGGCTATTCTGTTTGTTTTCCATCAGTTAGGAGAATCTTTTTCTGATTTTGCTGATCTTGAGTTTGTCCTGTGGGAATCTCATCTTATCCTGGACAGCGGGCCTAAATGAATAACTGTGAGCAGAGAGTGAAGATGATTTGTTGTCATGAGCAACCCTTTCATGTGACTTTGAGAAAGCTACACTCAGTAAAGATTCAAACATGTCTACTCTAATGAAAACCTCTATCCCATTCAATGTACTTCTCAATTTTTTATACTGATATGACTTTAGAGTTTGGTTGGGCTCAAGAAAATAGATGGCATTTTTCATTAACACTATCCTTTCTACAATAAATGTGTTAGTATCAAAACTTTCCTCTTACCAGTTATTCTCCATCCTGTACTGGATCCAGAAGCACGCCTTTACACTTCAAATAAAGTGAGTGGGATTTTAAAACCCATGAAATATCAGGTCAGAGGAATTATTTAACAACAACCTGCGGACATATGAAGAACCATAATAGCAAGCAACAGAGGCTCACACTCATTCATCCTTAAATTCAGCAGGCAATCATTGAGGACCTACTGAGTGCCAAACACTCTGAAGTAAACATACCTAATATATTGCCCTTTTCCTTAAGAAGTTTATAGCTTAGTGAGAGAGAGATAGAAAATAGGTCTAACCAGTATAGAAATATTCACAGGCTCTATGGGAGCATGTAACTTAAATTGGAGGGGGTCAGAGTCTAAAAAATGGCTTAGATTCAAAAATGAAAATCTTGATAATGAGAATTATAACACAGCTCTGTCTATTGTCAAGGGGGACTGCAAGGTTTGGGACTTTTTTTACATATATGTGTGTATATATATTTACATATATGTATATATACACATAAATGTATATGTAGGTATATTTACATATATATATATAAATATATATATGTTCTGTCTGAAGGTTCCAAGACAGTTGGGTCTAGGAACACAGTGCCAACTAAGTAGCTCTGACTTTTGGTGTGAACTATCTGGCACAGATGATATGTTCTCTGCAACCCACTACTCAGCCCACCTAGTTTCTGCAAACATCAACATCATTCTGTCTTTACTCAGCACTATAGACCCAAGTTTATCTTCACATTTTGTGTTCATTGCAATCAGCTCATTTTTCATGACTATACATGATTTGGCTCAGGATTGCTGCATAGTAAAATGACCAGAAAATAAATCTAATCTTTTTCATCTCCCTCCACCATCAAAAACTTAATGCAAGATATCTTAATTCTATCACTGACCAGTTCTGCTTACAGTGTAAGCAAGTGGTGGGGTGAGGAGGAATGCTTATTTTAACTTACCATGGTGTTATTAATGGATATTGCACAGATATAGAAGAGGGTTTAAAAAATAAAGGTAACAAGTGACCATTTCAAAGGTTCATGCTTATTGCATATTTGGAGAGATCGTTCCAGGCATAAGCCTTGAGTGTAATGAGCTTTTGAAGTAAAGCCCCCAACATCTCAAATTTAGCATATCCAGGACTCATTATGTTCTTGTACACTTGCTTCTCTTGCTGTGCTCTCCAACTTGGCATAACATTCCATCTATCACATAAGCTAGAGAATTCGAGTTTTCCTTTGACTCCTTTTCTCACCCATTATGTCAAATTGGTCAGTGAAACCCATCGGTTCTCTCCCTCACACATCTCTAATATTCATCCCCTCCCTTCTTTTTCCCACTGCTATCATGGCCTTACACATACTAGTCATCATTTCTCTCCTAGACTATTGGCAATGGTCTTCTAAGAGATCTCTTGCCTCCACTCTTCTCTTATATTACCTTCACTTTCCACACAACCAGCAGAATTCCCTTACCAAACTACACTGTTGCTTAAAACCTTATGATCTAAAAGATAGAGTATGAAATCCATAGGGTGATAGTCAAGACACTTTCCAATTTGGAACTGAGAAACCAAGAAGTCCAGGGCTCATCCTCTCCCATTCTCACTGTGAATATGAGAGATTAAACTCCAGCCAAGCTAGATTGTTTCAGTTACACTGATAATTTTTATATTTCTATATCTTTATTTATACTGGAATGCCACTGCATCCCACACACCTCTACTTGGTGGAATTCTATCCCTCGAAGCCCAGATCAATGTCACCTTCTCTTTGAAGTCTTCCCTAATTCCTTAGACCAATTACTCATCAAGCAGTTATTAGAAGAACTTCAGACCCAAAAATGTCTAACAGACAAATTGCAAACACTGTATTTTTTTTCTTTGAACATTTTTAGTGAAGACACACTCTGTACCATGTATTGTAAGAGGCTATAAACAAACATATAGGTGAGCAAGACAGGTAAGGTTAGTTTCATGGAACTTCAATTTTAGTAAGAAAAATAAACAACAGATTTAAAAAAAAAAAGATCATTTCTAACACATGAACAGAGTAATGTGCTAGAGTAATGAAAAAGATAAGGGGCAATTTTATACTAGTTGTCAAGGGAAAGCTTCTCCCAGGAGGTAATATTGGAGCTGAGACCCGAATAACATGACAATGCCTCTCAATATTAGTTTTGTGTTTGGGCTTTAGCTGAGTATTAGATTAGAGCATTTTAAAGAAAAAAAAAGTGAGTCTTCATTATTTTGAGTTCCTGTGATTATTTCAGAGGACATTCTGGGAACCTTAACAATGATAACAACAACAACCTAATCTTATATATTGCTTCATAATAAACCAATCCATAATTCAATGCCTTGAAACAGCAATTATTTGTGTCTTCTGAGTTTGTGGGTTAGCAAATGGCTGATTGACTGAAGCTGGGCTGAATAGATTCTACTTCATGTTTCTCTCACCCTTTTCTTCTTCTGGAAATGACAGTTACAAGTACAAACAAGCTCCATGGTGTAAGTGCGTTTCATAATTCTGCTTACAGCACATCTGCTAATATCTCATTGGCCAAAATAGGTCACATGACAAAGCCCAAGGATGTGGAATTACACCCTGCCCATAGTGAAAGGGCATGGCACAGTTATATGTCATAAGGCATGGAATCAGGGATGGCTGGAGAATTTTGCCAAAGTGTTAAATAACATACCTGGAAACTAGTATTGCATTTACTGCCAAATGTGTCATTTTAGGCATGTCACTTGCTGTCTCTGGCTCTTAATATTCTCAGATATAAGATAAGGTCACTTGAGTAGATAATTCCTAGGTTTCTTTGAAATGCTACATTTATTAGGATCCTTTAATTTTAGAAGGTCAGGCAGTGGTTAGAGCATCTGGGCAAATAAATACAAAATTCTGCTATGAAAAGAACTAAAGCTCATAATAAGTTTTTATAAATGCTTCATAATGGTGTATTGAGACTTTGTGATGCTGCTGAGTAGCGAAGATAACAATAGGAAAAATCACAATGGAAAGGAGCATCAAAAGGATGCAGCTCATCTGCCAACTCCCCCACGGACTATTTTTTAACCCTTACAAAGGATGGTTGGGCACTCAGAAAAGTGTAATAATTAATAACTTGTACCCTAAGGTGAGCACCCAGATACTCGAGTGGAAATCCTGGCTGTCCCCTTCACCAGCTGAGTGACTTATCTTTCAGTACCTCCATTTTCTAATTTGTAAAAGGAAGATAATAAGAGTGTATACTTTGTATTATTGATGTGAGTAATAAATGAGACACTACATATAAAGTTTAAGAAGCGTGCAGAAAACACAGTGCTCAATAAATAGCAGGCATATGTATTATTTTTAAGCCACCTAAAACCAGGTATATGTATGTTTCTTTAAATATACATGTGCATATATATGTATGTATATGTATATATTATATGCTATATGTATAGGTGTGTGTATATATATAGCATATGTGTGTGTATATATATATATGTGTTATATATGCTATAACAATCAAGTGGGATAGAGATAAGAAAATAGGGACCTGTATAGATTGTTTCATTTATAACAATGCAATAACACTCTCCCTGGCTTCTGTAGACATTTGCATTGTCATCCTCTACTTCAGAAAATTCTAAGGGCTTTTTCAGTCTCACCAAATGGTCACTGTGTTCTGGACGTAAAGCCACTACAGACTGGTCAGTCATCTTGGTGGTTCTCTGAGCAACTAAAGGAAAACCCAGAAGGAATATAACCCAAAGCATGCTCAGAAAAGGAAGCAGCAGCTCTCTTTTCCCTTACTGTAGGCTTTTAGGCATCCTGGTTATGAAATATGGCTGCAACTTTCTTTTAAATCCTTTTAAGTAGCAGTCATCCTCCTCCCCCCCTCCCCAATACTATTAAGTCCTTCACAGGTATCAATCGTCGGGAAGTAGGAAGAACTGCACTTTAAAAGGATTTTAAATAATGTCTCCAAGAAATATAGCAGCAGATTGTTCAATGGGGATTATCAGCCAAGAGTGTGCTTAAGGGGGAGGGCTCTCTTTTAAAAGGTCTTTAAATAATGTAAGTGTACTTCTTGGCAACATTACTCAGAACCATTTAAAGAGAAGATATCTCTGCTGCACCTAGGCACCCGCAGAAGAGACCTGAGGGAGACACATGACAAATGATATCCCTACACCCTTGACATTGTCATGACACAGACATTACAAGCTTTATCCAAAATGTTGAGAGCACCAGAGACTTACTCTCTAGAGAGATCCTCCCTCCTTCTAAGGGTCAAGGTCAAATTATCCCTAGAGAATATTTGGACATTTGCTCAGTGACCTTTGGGGGAAAAATGCAATTTCTGTGCTTTCCAAGAGCGTTGCAAGAAAGGAGCAGTTGTTTTACTTTCTTGTCTCCTTCACCTCTTCATAAAACCTAACTTAAGGTCTAATGTCATCAGAATCTAAACAGCCTACTTTGTTTTCTTCCAACCACTCCATCTCCAACTCCCTCCCCTGTCTAGCTTCATTGAAAACTGCAGGATGGGTAGAAGTGGAAGAGGTGTGGTATGTTGTAGAGATTAAGGCTTTGGACTCAGAAAATCTGAGTTTAAAATTTGTTATGCCACTACTGGTGACTTTAGGAAAATGTCATTGTCTCATTAGCCTCAATCTTCCTACCTGTAAAACAGGGTTTAAAACATGCTTGCTCCTGGCCAGGAGTGGTGGCTCATGCCTGTAATCCCAGCACTTTGGGAGACCGAAGCGGACGGATCACTTGAGGTCAGGAGATTGAGACCAGCCTGGCCAACATGCCGAAACCCCATCTCTACTAAAAGTACAAAAATTAGCCGGGCGTGGTAGCACATGCCTGTAATTCCAGCTACTAGGGAGGCTGAGGCAGGAGAATTGCTTGAACCCAGGAGGCAGAGGTTGCAGTGAGCTGAGATGGAACCACTGCACTGCAGCCTGGGTGACAGGGCGAGACTCCATCTCAAAAAAAAAAAAAAAAAAAAAGCCTGCCCCTAGTGTTGTTGCTAAGGTCAAATGGAATCAAAGCAGGTAAAGCACTCATGGTAGGCTCCATGCCTACCATATCCTAAATGCTTAATACATGGTACTCAGGGAGCTGTGACTATGGAGGCTGTAATTTCAAGAGTGTGGTTTGAGTTGTTGAAAGTACTGGAAATGCCTCTCTTCATTTATCTGGCTTGTTGGGCCCAAGAGTTGAATCTGATACCCAGATGGTACCTGTTTTAAGGACAGTTGGGTGCTACTTGAAAACTATGGCCAAGTGGAGATCCATGTTGATATGTAAGAATGAACAACCAATTCAAATATTCAGCGTGAACCTGGGGATACTTTAGGCCATTTCCAGATAGACCTTGCACAGATTGCAGTAGAAGGAAATTTCAGGGGAACATTGTTTGTTTTCCTTATCTCAGAGATCAAACATAAAGTAGAAGACATAGCTCAAAAGACATACGATCCAGCTAACCCACTTCTGGGTACATATGCAAAGCAATTGGAATTAATAAGTTAAACAGATGTCTGCACTCCCATGTTCTTTGCAGCACTATTCACAATAGCCAAGATATGGAATCATCCTAAGTGTCCATCAACAAATAAGTAAATAAAGAAAATGTGATATATATAAAATGGAATACTCTATAGCCTTAAAAAAGAAAAAAATTCTGTCATTCATGACATGGATGGAACCTGAAGGACATTATGTGAAGTAAAATAAACCAACACAGACAGACAAATACTATAATCTGCCTTATATGTGGAAACTAAAAAAGTGAACCTCATAGAAACAGAGTAGAAAGGTGGTTACCAGAGGCTGGCGGGGAGCAGGAGGCATGGGGAAAGGGGAGATGTTGATCAAAGGGTACAAAGTTTCACTTAGACTGAAGGAATATGTTTTAGTGATCTATTATACTATATGATGACAACAGTTAATAACATTGTATAATTAAAAATTGCTAAAAGAATAGATTTTTAACATTCTCACCATAAAAAATGGTAAGTTGGTGAGGTAGTGTTAAGTAGCTTGATTTAATATTTCTTTTTTTTTTTTTTTTTGAGACGGAGTTTCGCTCTGTCGCCCAGGCTGGAGTGCAGTGGCGCGATCTCGACTCACTGCAAGCTCCGCCTCCCGGGTTCACGCCATTCTCCTGCCTCAGCCTCCCGTGTAGCTGGGACTACAGGTGCGTGCCACCATGCCCGGCTAATTTTTGTATTTTTAGTAGAGACGGGGTTTCACCATGTTAGCCAGGATGGTCTCAATCTCCTGACCTCGTGATCCGCCCGTCTCGGCCTGATTTAATATTTCTACAAGGTATACTTAGATCAAAACATTACATTGTAGCCCACAAATATATACAAAGATCATTTGTCAATTCATAATAAATAAGTAGACTCAGTTTTCCTTTATATCATAGAAGAGTTTCAGAAATAAGAAGTACCATTGCCCACTGGATCTCATGTACATTATATACTCGAGAAATTGTGAAATGTCAAGGCTGGGCTTAAAGAACACCCCCAAAGAAGGACACTGAGCTGGCAGGTGAGTGGAAATAATGCAGCTCGAATGATGTGAGGGAAAATGATGTTCCCCTAGCATTCAGACAGCAGAACAGGTCTTGTGTCATTGACCACAATGACAGAAAATCAAACTGAACCCCATTAAAGGAAAAAAGCCATCTATTTTAGTTAGCCCAGCAGGCACCTGAAAGCTCCATTCAGTATGAAAAAATGGAAGGGCACTTGAGAAGATGGAGGTCTTAGTTCTAATGACTATGTTTGCACCTCCTGGAGAGGATAGATCTCTCTTTTAAATATGAGGGATTGATTTTGAAAATAGTGTTCTCTGCTGTGTTAGTTCCTTTTCTGCCTTTCAATGACAAGAGGACATGATTAGGTGAGGACCTTTTCAGTTAACTGAGATGAACCAAAACAAGGGAACCATTTTTTAACAGCAAAAATCTGGTGCAGCCTTATAAGCTCTAATACTTTAATTCTAGTACATTAAACAACAGTGCCATAATGGGAGACTTTAAAAAAATCAGAGAAATTGAGACATCAGAGAAATAGGAGAAAAGAAAAATGCTTTTGAGATTTTCTTAAAGCATTTCAAATGACTTACAATGTCATTGTCACTTGGAAAGGAAAGTTAGCGATGATTCCTTTAACTCTTTCTTCAGTTGACACTCCAGGTACCTTGGTCTTCCTGACCTATTAGTAGAAACTAGCAGGTTGACTCTTTGGCCCTTATAAAATAAAGTGAAAGTCTGAAGCAGCTATCTGGATACGCAGGTCCTCCAAATATCTTTGGTTTAAACTATGCTATGTGAAGTCTTCAGAGAGCTTACAAAAATGTTGACACCAATTTTTATGAGTAATTGCCCCCATAGCTTCACCTTGATAAATGAGGTTGTTCGAGCCATGGGCCCCAATCATTTATTACTATTATTATTATTACCATAATCCTGTTTTGCAAGCTAAAATGTATACTTACATACTTCCCAAGCATAACAAGCAAACATTTTTCCCCTAGACATATCTTTATTCCAACTTCTCTCTTAACTTCTTGGTAGAGTTTAAATAATGCAGAAGCCAGCTTTAGGCAAATCACCATCTTATTTGATTTTCCCCAACTAGACTGTGTGTTAGGACTTTTTACTGCTGAAGAAAACCATGTTTTGGGCAACATTTTACCCGCCAGTTCAAGACTTATATTTGAATTTGACTTTTTAGCTGAATGTAAATATGTCATTGTATTAGTCCATTTTCACACTGCTATGAAAACATACATGAGACTGGGTAATTTATAAAGGAAAGAGGTTTAATTGACTCAATTCTGCAATGGCTAGGGAGGCCTCGGGAAACTTACAATCATGGCAGAAGGGGAAGAGGCACGTCTTACATGGCAGCAGGCAAGAGAGAGAAGAGAGAAAAGACTGAGTGGCAAAGGGAGAAAAGTCCCTTATAAAACCATCAAATCTTATGAGAACTCCCTCACTATTATGAGAACAGCATGGAGAAACCACCTCCATGATCCAATCACCTCCCACCACGTCTCTACCTAGACACACAGGAATAATGCGGATGACAATTCAAGATGAGATTTGGGTGGGGACACAGCAAAACCATATCAGTAGTATATCTGGACTAGCTGCTGCCATGGAGCAAAACAAATATCTATGTTTGTCTACTTAAATATGATAAGCAACCATTCTTTTGATCATCAGACCTCAGAGCCTAGCTTTACCTGGGACCATAAGGAAGAAATCAGAGGTAAGATATCTTTGGAAGTGAAGTGTTACTGGTAAGTGTTGGCAAGGAGAAAAGAAGTTGTGGTTCTATAGAATGACCTCATAAGGTCCTATCATAACTCAAGAATAACAAGGTACAAGCCACCTTTTGAGTTCCATTGTATTTGGAAACAGAGTAAAATTACACCACTAGATAAAAGGGAGAGAAGAGGTGTGCACCCATGTTAGGTAAGAATGTTCTTGATTTGAAACCGAAGTAAAGCCAATGACTCATCGAAATACTGGCAAGTTCCTGCCCTTGATGTTGATGCTTTAAACAGAGACAGGAAATTGGAAAGGTAGCATATCTGCCTTCTTCCCTCACATTGGACAGGCTGCAGAGTTTGCCTTACTCAGCCCGGTGATTGTGTTGACTCCAAATCACAGGAGGTGGACAGGCCTGCAGCTTAAAACATCCCTGTGGCGGCCTGATGATTAACTCAGCAGCTTGAGCTATTCCAAATGTTGCTCTCTTGTCGGAGAAAAAGAATAAATACATTGGGTGTGAGTGATGGCCAGCAAGGGAAAGCTGGGATGTTTGCATAGCCTCAGTTTTCTGTGAGCTGAACAGCTTTCCAAAGCCACTTTTTTTTCCTCTCCAGATGTTCTTGAGGAAGATGCAAATGAGCATTTTTTAACATTGCAAAACTGTCAAATCCTGTCCAAGGAACCTAACAGAATGCCATCAAGTCCAGCAGGTTTACTCCCTGATGGGGAATGTCTTTCTTGCCATCAATCACATAATCAGAGACTTCATAACAAAATGTACTCTATTTTCTTATTTCAGAGCAATAGACCTTCCTCAAATATTCTCATGGATATCATCTTAAATTATTTCATTTTATTATAAATACCAGCTCATAGTGTGTCATCCCATTACATGCCTGCTGAGATGTTGCTTCATGATATTACCTATGTTATTTACAGGTGGCTCTACTTTACAAATGAGTAGGCTAAGGAACAGAGAATAGACGTGGACTTTCCCAGCATCTACCCTTTCTGAATAAGATCAGGTATAAAAGCCAATATATTCCCTTTGTTTTTTTTTTGCAAAAAATATATAATAGTAATAATAATAGGTCACATCCTAACTGAATATAGCAGATGAGAGTTCACAGATTCAATGTTAATCTCCTGGCAGAAAGAAAGGGAATTGGAGGATCTGTGCCTGACCCTGATTCATTCTATTCATGAGAGTATCTGTCCTAGTTTGGATTAGCCAGAATTGAACTTTGAGAATATTTGAATAGGATGCTAAACAAGAGGAAGGCCTTAGAATGTTGGCTATTAAAAAAAATTCTATAGATGCTAGAAAGGGAAAAAGAAGAAAGTAGAAAGAAAAGTATCATGGAAAAGGAAACTTTCCTCCGGTATACACAAGCTATCACTCTACAATGACAAAAAGCTCATTAAAATGCAAAAGCGCATTTATCTAAATATTTGCAAAATCTTTATCATTACATCATTTTGGAAGCATATAAAATTTGATTAAATGTTCCAGGTTTCATCAAAGTTTTTAGCTTGGTGGAAACACAGCTTAATATTCAATCCCTTAAGAATGCACAAAATGAAAGATAAATTCATCAATTTTCTGGTTACTTTTGGATACCTTTGTTATAGTTAATGAACCAATATTGTTATATTATTAAGTAAATTCCATAGATTCTTTTGATTTCCTTAGTTTTTACCTAATTTCCTTTTTCTGTTACAGGACACCATCCAGGGAACCACATTACATTTAATTATCGTTATCTTATTAGGCTCCTCTCAGCTGCGTCACTTTCTCAGACTTTCCTTATTTTTGATGAGTTGACATTTTTGAGGAGTACTGGTCATGTATTTTGTAGGATATCTAGTATTGAAAATTGTTTGATCCTTTTCTCATTATAAGACCAGAGTTATGGGTGATTGGTAGGAAACCACAGAGTGTAGTGCTATTATCACATCTTATCAAGGGTCCATGCTATCAAGATGATTTATGACTGTAAATGTTGGCCTTGATTACCTGGCTGAGGTAGTGTTTGTCAGGTCTTTCCACTGCAAAGTTACTCTTTTCTCCCTTTTCATACTGTAGACTTTGGGAGGAATTCACCACATGCAGCCCACACCTAAAGAATATGGAGCTTTTCTCTCCCTTCTTCAGGGCTGAATATCTACATAATTTATTTGGAATTCTTCTACATGGGAGATTTGTCTCTTCTTCCCCATTTATTAATTCATTTAATCATGTATTTATATCAATACGGACACATAAATATTTATTTTATACTTTAGGTTGTAATCCAATATATATTATTTATTTTGCTTCCCAGAGGGTTTCAGCTTTGGCCCTTAGGTGCTCATTCAGTTGACATCTATGTTCCTCCTTTGATACATCCTCATCAATATGTGAGGCTTTGTTTCTCTCTCTTTCTCTTCTTGTGAACATTTCTTTACTCTCTGGCACTGCAAGATGCTCCAGGCTCATCTGGCATATTTATTGTCAGAGTCATAGAATCAGTCATTTCTATAAAGAATCCTGAATACTTATATTGCAGAAAGATATGAGAAACCAAGATCTGGGTACTAGTTGTGCTTGTTGCTACTGGAATGGCATTTATTTTAGGCTATCTCATTTGGCAAGCAAAAAAAAAGAAAAAACCATGCGTTAATCTATGTACATATGCATATCTATAAATATTTCTACATGTAATTATGTGTGTTAAAGGTATACACATTTAACACCTCAAAATGCCATCTAAAAAAGGTTGAGTTTGAACTAAAAGACTTTTTAGGTTCTATTTCAGCTCCAATACTATATAATATTATAGTTTATCCTTTTATTTTTCTATAAAAAGAGAAGGCGGTTTTCTAAGCTTCTTTTGACATGAACTCAGTACTACTGAATACACATAGACCTCTTATCCATCATACAATAATGTCCTGTGTTTCCTTCTCTTGTTTTTCTTGACTAATTTAAACTTAGAATGGAAGACCAGATTTATATTTATTAAAGTACTAAATTACAACTCATGTTCAAAAAATGCAATTACATATATGATCAGCTTCAAGAAAATTCTATATATGCAAATTTACTCTATTATTCCCATTAAAAAATAATTTACTGAATTTTTAATTTAAATAATGCACTCTCCTAGTGCATTTTAAATTTGATTAAATTAACAAAAATGCATTTGACATAACATTTCTCAGCTAATTTATAGCTATACCCATGCTAATAAAAATCATAAACTTGGTAGAATAATAGAAGAACACAAATTGTAAATCTAGCTTTCCATATCAACTCACCAAAGCTTTGCAAGGAGAATGTTTTCCATTAGAAACCAACTGTTTGAGGGGAGAATGTTCTTCATTCAGGAACAAATCCTACTTATGCAATACCTCTGTCTTAGTTCATGCGGAAGTTTTAAAATATATATGCAAATTATCTGACACTTTTCCCTCCAAATCTAGGCCAATTTATCAAATGCCTTGTAACCAAAAGAGTGTAGCAAAAGCAATGTTGTACAAATACAAAGGCTAGATCCAAAAGGACAGTGTAGCCTCTACCGGGTCCTCTTGGGGCACTCATTTTGGGGAAAGTTAGACACCATGTATGAGTGAGCATCTCGAAACTTCCATCTGGAGACGCCTCATGTAGGTACTCAGGTCACTACTTCCAGCTGAGCTAGCAATTGAGTCATCCCAGCCCAGGCTTTACATACATGCGTGAGGGGCCTTCAGATGATTCCAACCCCCAGTTGTCTACCCAGCTTTTGAGTATTCCCACTTGAGGCCCCAAACATCATGTAGTGGAAACAAACCATTTCCACTGTGCTCTGCTTGAATTCCTACCCCAGGGAATTTACGAGCATAATAAAATTCTTGTTTTGTGCTACTAAGTTTTGAGTTGATTTATTATAATGGCAGTAATAATTCCAACAATTTAATCCCTCCAAAAGCAGACCCCAAGACTAGGATTTAATTGCAAGTAGATTGTTTGTCAGCTGATCCCAAGAGGCATCATTTGGAGAGTAGAGAAGTGGGGCAGGGCAGGGAAGAAAGTTAATAACAGATATCTTTAGTAAGCAAGTTATCACATAGCCATATAGCATCCCTTGCTAGGACCTGGAAGATGGTATAGAAAATGCTTTCAAGTTGTTCTACCTGAAGAGTGAAGAAACTGGGGTATTCATCCACCAATTCTTATCCATCATTGGTTGGGAGTTATTAGGGTATTAACATCCTGGCATCTGACCTGTCCTACACATAGGCTATGCACACTCCTGCAAAGAGTCACAGGAACTTCTAACAAGAAGCTGTGGGCTTGACACTGCTGAGTGCAGAGGGCATACAGATGGAACCTTAAACTCACAGAGCAGGAGTTCACTGGAGTCCACTGAGCCATGATTGAGTTTCAGTGATCTGCCAAGTTCCAGAAACTAGATTTGAAGTTCTGCCTATATGAAGACATATGTACTTTTCTGGAGTGGGAGCTCAGGATTTCATTAGCTTCCTCAAGTGGCCGGTGAAGTTTAAAAAAAAACAAAAAAGGTTAAGAATAAGGAACCAAGATAATAAAGAAAGTTGTGTACCTTAGGCTCTCTTTCTTATATCAGATAATCAAAATCAATAATAACAGTAGGAGTTACTAAATAATTATAGTTACACAGTAGTTAAACAATATATATTAAACAATTATATTTAAAATAACTGAACCAATAATTATTGGCAAAAAGATTGTCATACTATTTCCTTGGCAGAAGAATTTTGGTGGATGAAGAAACTAAAGAATATCCAGGCCAGGCGCGGTGGCCCACGCCTGTAATCCAAGTACTTTGGGAGGCCGAGGTAGGCAGATCACGAGGTCAGGAGTTCAAGACCAGCCTGACCAACATGGTGAAACCCCATCTCTACTAAAGATATACAAATTAGCCAGGAGTGGTGGCACGCACCTGTAATCCCAGCTACTCAGGAGACTGAAGCAGGAGAATCACTTGAACCTGGGAGGCGGAGGTTGCAGTGAGCCGAGATCATGCCACTGCACTCCAGCCTGGGCGACAGAACAAGACTCTGTTTCAAAAAAAAAAAAAAAAAAAATCCTAGAAAAAGTAATTATATTTCAACCCCTGCCAAGATACGTGGTTTTGCAAACAGCAGTTAGACCTCTGGTGGTCAAGAGGATAAATTATATATTTATGTATAGTCTAAGAGTCATACATTTGAACACTTATTTCTCCACAATGGTTAATACTTTTTATTAATGTAAGATAATACTATAATGACAATCATAATAAGGATGGAAATCAAAATTCATTGATACAATGAAAATCTTAAAGTGTCAGATATGTTTTCAGCAAGAAAACATAAGTAAAAATTTATTCTCTTAATCAATTCCCTTCAGACTCAAAGAAACCAAGAGACCAGTTTCAGAGAAAAACTGCCTGGATGGTCAAAGTATGCTTCCATTATAGAATTTGGTCACATTATCTCATCTATTCAGTTAATTGATATCAAAAGAATTACCAAACTACTTCTCCAAACCTATAGCTTCCCAAGGGTATTGTTTGATCGAAATTTTTTTACATTTTCATTTAGTTATGTTGGCTTTTGTCTATTGTTTAAATTTATAAAGTAAGACTAATATATCATTCATCATACTTCGAAATACTGTACTACTCAAGAATTTTGGGTCAGGAACGGTGGCTCACGCCCATAATCCTAGCACTTTGGGAGGCCAAGGAGGGTGGACCACGAGGTCAGGAGATCGAGACCATCCTGGCTAACACGGTGAAACCCCGTCTCTACTAAAAATACAAAAAAATTAGCCGGGCGTGGTGGCGGGCACCTGTAGTCCCAGCATACTCAGAAGGCTGAGGCAGGAGAATGGTGTGAACCCGGGAGGCGGAGGTTGTGGTGAACCGAGATCACACCACTGCACTCCAGCCTGTGCGACAGAGCAAGACTCTTTCTCAAAAAAAAAAAAAAAAAAATTAAAAAAAAAAGAATTCTGTATGAATTCAAAGGTAGTAAAGGAAAATGAATTAAAATGAGTGTAGTTTAGAACTTCCTAAGCCAAAAATAAAATGGCATATTACTTCTAACTTTAGGATTGTGCATAATATCACTTGGTTTCCTTTATAAAAGATGTCTGCCACCTATGTCTGAACAAGCTGTTTACAAAGCTATTCTCCCTATTCTTTGGAGTAATGGTCTATTCCTTAGCCTCCCTACCCTTCTACCCTTTCATCCCATAGATCAAGTCACTCATCCAAATACTGCTTTGTTAATGTTTTCCTGACAGGGCTGTTCAATGATAATTTGTTACAAGGAAGCCCGTAAATGACTTTTAATTGTAGTAGCTACTATCCCATGCTATCATTTAAATCTCGATGGTTGTCGCTTCCTCCTCCTCACTCAGAAAAAATACAACATTTTCCCCTCTGAACATCTGCATTAGCACATAGTTTATGCTTTTCTGGGATAGGTTAAGTAAGTTACAAAATGCTAGTTTCTGGAATTATTATCTGATGTGAATTGGTCTGAGTAGGGAAAAAATCCCTCTCTCTATAATCTCTCTAAGCATAATCTGTATATAAAAGACACAATGCACTTTAAATATGTGCCACAAAAAGATTGTGGTCTCATGTTATTAGAAATAAAAGTCTTAGGATATATCTTCATAACTCTTCAACTATTTTAGTCAATTAAATAATGTTTAAGAAAATGCCAACATTATATTTGAACGGTTTATCACTCTGTATGGTGCAATAAATTCCATAGAAATGTTAAACTCTCCTCTATTGAGACTGAATACTGATTAAAAACATGAATACTAAACTTTTATCAAGTTTTTAGGTCAATTTGCTATTGATAAGACAGCCCCAAAAAAGTTGTATTGTTATGAGGTCAATTATATATGCTTATGACTACCTCACCAAATGATTAGCTTTTACATACATGTGGTTGAAAGCTTTTTTTTAGTAAGGCACCAGCCATTCCATCACTTTAATGTCTGTCATAGAACCAGAATGATTGTCTTTTTCCTATTTGTCTGATTTTACTAATTCATTGAACCATTTAAACTATGTACATATGTAGACATAGTTTTTAGCCTGCATACAAAGAAAAAATTTTAAAATAAAATAAATTAGAATGTATTTTTCAGCTATGCATCAAAGAGTTATGACTAGTTAAGAAATAGTATTGACCATTTACCTGCTTAGAAACCCAACTAGCAAAAATGAAAAGTGCATCTAAATCCCTCTTCTCTGATGGAGGCAGAAGGAAATAATCAGTGGTTGACTACGCTGGTGGGGTTGTCTGGAAGAGCTGGGGGAAGGTGTCTTTCTCCCAAAGTAGCAGTCAAAGTACACAGAGTCAAGAACCAAATGGGAAGACACAAAGGAAACCAAATTCAAAGCAGTGAGGAGAGTCTGCATAGGTCCTCAAAAGCACATTTTTTAAAAAATTGGAAGCCAAACCTTTTTAAATAATTAGATTTCTTTCTTTTTTAAAAACATAGTTTTGGGGGGTACAGGTGGTTTTTCAATACATAGATAAGTTTGATGATTTCTAAGATTTTGGTGCACCTGTCACCCAAGCAGTGTACATTCTACCCAATATGTAGTCTTTTATCCCTCACCCACTTTTCCACTCTTCCTCCCACCCCACGTTCCCAAGGTCCATTATATCATTCTTAAGCCTTTGCATCCTCATAGCTTAGTTCCCACTTATAAGTGAGAACATGCGATATTTGTTTTTTCCATTCCTCAGTTACTTCCCTTAGAATAACGGCCTCCAGCTCCAACCAACTCACCGCAAAGGACATTATTTAGTTCCTTTTTGTGGCTGAATAGTATTCCATGGTGTATATATACCACATTCTCTTCATCCACTTGTTGATTGATGGACACTTAGGTTGGTTTCATATTTTTGCAACTGCGAATTGTAAGAAGCCAATACTTTTGAGCCAATGAAACAAGAACAAAGATGATCAGCATTAGGTCAAGATGAAGCAAAGACTAGACCTGGACAATTGCACTGAACACATGTTCCTTGACTTACTTTTGTGTATCTGTGTGTGCTTCTGTTGAACTGAATGAAGGAGGGGTAAGACATATGTGAGCAATCACTAGGCAAGATCTGTGTGACTTAATGCCTGAAATGCCAGGAAGCAATCATTTGCTAAAACAGAAATAAAGGCCAACTGCTAAACTCAAGTTGAATCAGAATAATTATCTGGAAGTAATAAAAATGGAAAGTAGAAGACTGAGTTTACAAATCTAGTAAAGAAGAATTTGATTTTGAAGCTATTTGTTGATATTGTGTTCAGCACCTAAGTCTGCAGGTTTTCTATGTCAATCACCCAATCTGCTTTTCATCTGGAAAATGGAAGTAGGAATGGTTGATGCTGACTTACTTAAATTCAATCAGATTATGCAGTTGAATATGTGTAGTACTTCTAGAAACTTCTTGGCAGAACTGTACTTTTTGTAAGAAAAAATCTACCGGAGTTGTAGAGAAAAAAAAAAACCACAAATCACTTAAATTTAGTGATAACATCATGGGCTTACCAACCAACAAAATTAGAATTCACTGAAACATGGACATTATTTTTTAATGTTCCTAAGACCCTACTTTCTGAGTGCACAATCAAAGACCAAAATGAAGAAGGCTAATGTCTGTTTTCTAAAT
Organism: Homo sapiens; assembly: GCF_000001405.40. Classification (NCBI taxonomy): domain Eukaryota; kingdom Metazoa; phylum Chordata; class Mammalia; order Primates; family Hominidae; genus Homo; species Homo sapiens. The sequence continues at coordinate 84,186,481 of NC_000004.12, forward strand.
AAGAATATTAGGATCAGATAAAAATATTTTATCTTAAAGATAAGACCAATGTTTCTATCACGTGTAGATAAAAACTAAAGCTATTGACCTGGAAATCTTCCATCAAGTCCTGAAACATTCTTAACTGTTAGATAAATACTCAGCATATAAAAAAATTAAAGAAACTTCATCAATGACAGAATATTTTTCCATTCTTAATCAATAGTATTTGACTACTACCAACTATTTCATAAACCGCTCAACAAATATTTACAGAGCATCTGCTATATTCTTAGCACAATATACTATAAGTATTAAGCCTAGTTCCTATCATCAAGTAACTTGCAGTTAGGAAGGAAAAATAGAAAGTCAACAAAGAAACAGAGAACAATTCAGTATTAAACTAAACATTGACACATGATTATGATTCTGTTAAGAAAAAAGAAGCAGGCCAGGCATGTGGCTCATGCGTATAATCCCAGTACTTTGGGAGGCCAAGGTGAAAGGATCACTTGAGGCCCTGAACTCGAGACCAGCCTGGCCAACACGACAAAACCCCATCTCTACTGAAAATACAAAAAGTTAGCCAGGTGTGGTGGTACACACTTGCAATCCCAGCTACTCGGGAGGCTGAGGCACAAGAATCTCTCCTTGTGAATTTTTTCCTAAAATTCACAACTAAGAGAGTCTAGCATTTTCTAAAGGAACTTTCCTAAAATGACATAAGCAAAGGTAAATCACAAGGAAAGAAAAACTCAAAGGCACAGCAAGAGAGAAATAAGTAAATAAACTACAGTGCATCAAAAGATCATGTGTTCGACTTGAGAACTTTCTAAGCCTGTTTTGAACCTAAAACAAAATTTTTTTCTATAATTTTCTAACTCTCTGTTGCCTGGATAACTCCTACTGCCTGGATAACTGCCTACTCGGAAAGCAGAGGTTGCAGTGAGCTGAGATTGCGCCACTGCACTCCATCCTGGGCGACAGAGCAACAATCTGTCCCAAAAAAGAAAAGAAAAGAAAGCAACAACATACTGGCTGAAAATACGCATTTGAAAAGGGATGATAATGGAAAAGCAGAAGAGAAAGTGGAGGAGGAAGAGGAAGAGGAAGGCAATTTATAAAGTCATTACTATGTCCTAGGAACTAGGCTATAACTAATTAATGAATTGTTTACATCTATTAGCATTTTTTTAAAAAACTCACACTAATGATAATATATAATATTTATTGAAAGCCTTTGAGTGCCAAATATTTACAAGTGGTGACTCATCTAACTCTGACAATAAATCCTATAAAAAAGGTATTACGGATTTTTTTTTTCTTCCATTTTAGAGATAAGGAAACTGAAGCAAGGAGATGTTAAATAATGTAACCAAGATTACACAGATCATCACAGTACTAGGATTAAAACCAGAACAATCTGTCTAGAGAGCTTATTCTCTTATTCCTTTACAAATTTGGAAATGAACTCCAAATTAGGGCTGCCAGTGTACTTGTTTTTCCTCCATCCTCGTCAGAGTCTCTTACTTGGATTGTCTGGTAGCGCACCTATATCCTAAGCTGTCCTGTCTAGAGCCCAAAGGTGGATTAATCTGCTTCATTTTTTACTTTTCAAATTTTTTTTCCTAAAATTCACGACTAAGAGAGTCTAGCATTTTCTAAAGGAACTTTCCTAAAATGACATAAGCAAAGGTAAAGCACAAGGAAAGAAAAATTCAAAGGCTCAGCAAGAGAGAAATAAGTAAATAAACTACAGCACATGAAAAGATCATATGTTTGACTTGAGAACTTTCTAAGCCTGTTTTGAACCTAAAACAAAATTTTTTCTATAATTTTCTAACTCTCTGTTGCCTGGATAACTCCTAGTCGTTCTTTAGGACTCAGGTTCAGTGATGTCCCTGGTCAACACACATCCAAATACACAAACACACCCCTCACCACTGTGGAGTCTGGGTCAAGTGCCTCCTCCTTTGAGTTTCCACAGTACACTACATCTCCCTGTATTCGAGCACTTGTCAAACTTCAACATTAACTTGTATGTCTCCCTCATTTGAATGTAAATCTCTGAAGACATGGACTGTGATGCCCATTTAGTATCAAGGCAAACATCCCTAAATTTGTTAGTAATGCCTAAGAGCATCATTGTATTATTTTAAAAGTTTGAGAATTAATGTTAACAATGATTCCAAGTCACAAATATGGATCTATTTATATTCAGTATACTATATTTTAGAAAGTATTTAATGTGTTTTGTAACTTGTGATTATTAAATTAATATTAAAACTTGTAACATGCATAATTAGGCAAGTCCTTAACAAACTGAGAATTCAACTATAATAAAATAATTCATTCCCTGAAAAGAGTCAAGATTTCAAGATTTTCTTGGGTCCGATGGTTGCTCAGATACAAGAGGCACTTTCTAAAAAGTTATCATGAAAGCTAATGTTTAGAATGTTGATTTCTACAAGTACATCTATAAAACTATGGTGAAACTTTATTAATTAATAACCTAGAAAAATGTAGTGTTAAATTATCTGCACAGGGACTAGGCTGAAGTTTGCATTTGTATTATCCATATATAATTACAGATATTAATAAATCAAAGTCTCCAGGGGAATTCGTAAATAAATTGAGGGAAGGGCTGATTGGCATTCATTTATCTTGCATCTCATTCTTGAAGAACATACTGAAGTTTCTATACATCTAGAGGCAGAGAAGGAGTTACAGGAAAAAAATTGGGTGAAAAAATAAGGCCTTAACAAAGCATACAGGCTGCATGGATTGTTCAATATTAAACAGCTTTTCAAGTTGCAAGACAAGAATGAAGACTTTGTTGCTTTGTTCTGGATGACATGCTGACAGATAGCAGGCCTTTGATAGCTCAGTGGAGGACGAAGGTTTTTATATGCCTGTAGTAAGGACATTAACAAATTTGACAGTAGACAGCAGCTTGTACAAACTGCTGTGCTGATACCATTCTCTGTCCAAAGATGACAAGTAATGATCATGATGAAAATTAAGCAATAAGGGTGAAATCAATCAGGTTGGAAGGAATACTGAAAAACAGAATACAGATGGGGAGCTTCTTTGGATCTGAAATCTTTAGAATGACTAATATTTCAGGTTATTACCAACATGTAGAGTGTATGGGCCAAGTCCTTTTCTTTATCCCTCATTTCCTATTCTCTTATCCAGGCCAAAAGAGCCTGAAAATATTCAAGGCTCAATTTAGTAAAGGCTTATTTTTGGAAGACAATAGAGAATGCTTCAGAAATATGTTACTCTAGATAGTTAAGGCTAGGCATGAACCATGAAATTAAGTTTAGTAAATGAACTGTGACTAAATATAAACATCATATATGTGTATGATTGTGCTCATTATATGTCAAGCACTTTTCTAAATCAAGAATTAAACAATATAGACAAGATCCCTGTTAAAGTTCACGTTCGGTTATAGAGATAGAAAATTAGTCAAGTGTACACACAATTGAACAAACAAATGAAAACATATGCACACGGGTTTTCTTATGAAGGAGATAAAGTGATGAGTTGGGGCAACTGAGAGAGGTTGTAGTGAAGAGGCGATGAGGGAAGTCCCCTCAGAAGAGGTGTCATGTGAGCTGAGATCCGAAGAATGAGGATGATCAAGTCAAGGGAGGAGATGGGGCTTGAGGAAGGAAGTGGGAGCAGTGAACGTCCTGAACAGAAAGAAGGAAGAGAAGATGCAAAGGCCAAGATGGGCAAGGATTAGAAGAACAGAAAAAGGTCAATGTGACTAAAGCAAAGTGACCAAGAGGGGGTGCATCATGAGTGGAGGCTGAGGAGGAAAACAGGAGCCAGTTTATAGAGAAATTTGTGAAATAGATTTTTATTCTAAGGTTGATTGAAACCCAGAAATTGAAGGGAATGATTATATTTATGCTTTTTGAAAGGCCATCTTTCTTCTATCTGGAGAATGTACTATACAGGAAAAGAGTTAAAATAAGGAGTCCTGTTACAAGACTGTTTTAGTAGTTCTGATAAGAGTTGATGGCAATTTGAATAGAGATGGAAAGAAATAAATGAATTTGAGATGTAATTTGGAAGTAAGAAAAATAGGACTTGCTTGTGGATTGATGTTAGGGTGAGGCAAATGGAAAAATCAAGAATGTCTCTTAGGTCTCTGGCCTGAGCTATCGAGATGGGAGATAAATGGAAGAAAAAAAATTGATTTGGGTGAGTACAATCTGGAATACCACACCATAACATCGATACAGAAGGCTGGGGAAATGTGTTTAATGCCACAATGTTCAGGATTCTTAGCTGAACCATATGGTCAAGTAAGAGCCAGGATGATGTAAGAGAAAAGTTCTATACTAACTAGCTCTCTGCTCTTGGTTAGACCAATTACATTGGAATTAGGTAAGTATGGATTTAGAAAAGACATTATGAGTAATCTAGTCTTGCTTTCCATTGATCATAGCAAGACCTTCTAATACATTCAGTGGTTAGATGCTTGCTACTTCAGAAGTCAGCCACTCCATTTTAGGAAAACTTCAATTGTTAAAATTATTCTTAATATTGAATCAACATTCCATGCCACTACCAACAGCAAGCTTAACCTCTCAACCACATAGCAACTCACTATGTGTGTATTCTCTTTATTGTTTCTGATATTTAAATTTCAATCCTAGCTCTAACTGTACTCATACTACTCAATCTCTACATACAAAAAGAATTGAAATTGTAGATTTTGAATATTTGACTTTTGTAATCGCCTCAAACATTTTGATATTCTGTAATTATAAATCCTAAATCCCTTTGTGACTCAGTTTCCCATTTATATGATTGGCAATATTCCAGATTGTTTAGGATTTATAAGAAAAAGTCATATTTGTGATCATTTTCTTGTCTGTTGACTTACAGTTAGTAAGGATAAAATATATAACTGAGCAAAACAACTGAGCAAAAGTATTTATTTCCACTTGTCCATAAAGTTTTCCATCTTTCAAAATTTTGTTTTCAATTTGCCTTTTCTTATCTCTTTATTTCTTTTCCACTATCTTTTAGTTGGAGATTGAAAAGCACTAGAATTACATTGAGTTGTCCAATCTCCTGTTGAACCAGAAATCTAATGATGCTCATTTGTATTCCTTTTTTTCCTTCAAAGGTCTACATTAAAATTTTTGGTTATGTTTCATTGTTAAACTTGAGAGTTTCAAAGATAAATTCCACTAGAATTATATGTTTTAAGAAAATTGAATGGTAGAAAAGTCTAAGGCAATATAGATGAATTAAAGGGTGTCTGGGCTGGTCTTGGTTGGCTTATTCATGATCTTTCAAATAAACATGCAGTGAGCTAAAATGGCTGTTAATAAAAAATAGGAATACTGGTATTTTATGAGTTGCTTATTATAATTACATATTTAGAAGCTCTGAGACCCTGAGGTCATTGCACTATATTCTCACAAAGGGAACCAGAGTTCATGCCTCTTTCAATGAAAGCACTAACATTTCAACAGTTAAAGATTTCTGGTGGCTCATGGCTAAGTGGATTCAGAACTCTGAGCTTCAGTATATCTTCAGTGCTAATCTTAAAACACCAGAGGTAAAATCCTCTTTCGCTGTGTACAACTGGTTTTCCACAGGAACAGTATGTGCCACAAACAATTTCTTGTATTTACTATCTTAGAAGTAATCACATAATGATAGATTCAATGACATTTGAAGGATAAATTCTCCTTGAAATACAGTTTCTTTAGGAAAATAGAATAAGAAGCAGGGATAGGAAAGTAAAATAAGGATTTGAGGGTCTCAGGTCATTCGTTTAGAAGCAAGCCTGATGCGCATTAAGCAAATGTTACGTACTCCAAATATTAAATGATAATTTAGGTTGGAGTAAGGGAGACTGCAGGTGGCCAGTCTACTCACATTTCAGACTGCTTTCTTGGTGACATAAATATTTCCAAGTAGATCATGAACCACCTTACAAAATATTCAAAGTAAATTGTGAGAAAAAAAGTGTAAAAATGGGATAGTTATCAACATTTACAATTTTTCAAGTAATTCTGCAAAAGGGAAGCCTTGTAAAGATTTCAGTCCCTCTTGGATCAGCAAGGTCCATCATGGTCTCTGTCCCTTCTTTCTCCTTCACCTCTGCCAATTTTGATCATGGCTGCTGTAGAAAGCTATGACTGCAAGCTTTCCTTTCTAGGATCTCTCCTTAAAGCGTCTGATCTTACGTGCTTTCCTTGCTTCTCTTCCCACCTATCAATTTCTATTTCTAGGCTAAACTAAGTGAGGAATTTAACAAGCAGCCAATCTTATTTTTATTCTTATCAGGAGTATAATACCTCTCTATTCAGCACTGGAAGTCCTGCCTTATTCCTTGAGGTCATGACCCCACAAATCCCCCATTCTGATGGACTGTGTTTCATCTTAGCTCTCAGGAATAGTTTCTCCAGTGTTTCCCATTTATACATAACTCATAGGTATAAAATTATAAATATAACCACAATTATTTGCAGATGCTCCTAACAAGGTATGGGGTTCATTTCTCTACCCCTTGAGCTTAGGCTAAACTTCTGACTTGCTTTGGCCAATACAGTGTAACAGCGGCATTACTGGGTAAGTTTCCATACTAGAACTCAATATATTTTTGTGTGTTTTTGTTCCTGTTACTAATGAATCCTGCCATCATGTGCACAAGCTTAGGTTAGAGTGCTGGAGGATGAAAGACCTTATTGAAAAAGTCACAGGCATCCCAATTTTGCCAGCTGAGGCTATCATAAAGCCTGTGACAACCTACCAGATGATCATGGATGTGTAAGCAAGCCCAGATGAAATAAGCTGAATTCAGCCCAGACCAGTAGAAGCGCCCAGCTGAGCCCAGCTCAAATGGCTGATGTACAAAATTGTGAGCTAGAGAAAAGGCTCTTGAGGGCCTAGGAGCAATGACACCCCAGTAGCAACAAGCACCCCTTGAACACAGACATTGGTTTCTAATATGAATCTTCAATAAAAGAAGGCTCTTTGGGGATACGGCTGATTCTAGGACTGTGAGAAGGAATGTCTGAGATGATCCTGGAGTCTGGAGTCTGATAGAAAGTTAGGAAGTACTCAAAATAACCAACAATGATGGGAGTATATTGAATGAACACAGGAGCCAACCAAAAGAACTCCCAAGAGCTAAAGCTGCAATAACAAACTATTGGATTTTAACTCAAAATATAAAACAAATATCAACAAGCATATAATGTTATAAATGACTGAATAAATAAATAAATGGGGGGAAATAGATACATTTCTCACGCGGGATAATTCCAAATGAAGTATGTAGATACTTTACCCTGTGTGTGATCCTGTGGACCACAATAATGCACAAGCCATATCCTTCTAGATGTGTAATTCCTTCTATGTTTCCTAAGCTACAAGCCCTGCTGACATCTCCTCCAAAACATGTAAATCTATGTACTTCTCTCCATCTCATTAACTGCCAACTAGTACGAGCCATCACCAACCATCACATGAACGACTTCACAGCCTCTTGACAAGACCATTGACTTCCACTCTTACGCCAGCACAATCCATCACCCACAGCAGCCAAAGAGCTCATAACACTGCATAAAACAAATAAACATATTAGCCAACAAAACTGCTCCCAGTGCTATTTACAATAACAAAGCCATGGAATCAACCTAAGTGTCCATCAATGGATGATTGCATAAGGAAAATATGTGTGTGTGTGTGTGTGTGCATGTATGTATATACACATATATACATACATATTCATATAGCATGAAATATCACCCAGTCATAAAAAAGAATGAAATTGTATCTTTTGCAGCAACATAGATTGAACTGGAGGCTATTACCTTAAAATAAATAATTCAGAAAGTCAAATACTGCACATTCTCATTTATAGGTGGGAGCTAATCAATGTGTACACATGGACATAGAGAGTTGAATAATAGACTTCAGGGACTCCAAAAGCTGGGAGGGTGAGAGGGAGAAGAAGTTGAGATATTACCAATTATGTACAATGTACATTATTTAGGTGATGACTAAGCTAAAAACCCCGACTTAACCACCACACAATGTATCCATATAACAAAATTGTACTTGTGGCCCCTAAATCTATAAAAAATAACAACAAATATAAACAATAAAATAAATTTAAAACAAAAACAAAACTCTGCTTTCAAACTTAGAATAAAATTCAGACTTCATGATTTGAGTCCTGTCTACCATTCTTTTTTTTGTTTTCTTTTGTTTTGTTTTTTTTGAGATGTAGTTTCACTCTTGCTGCCCAGGCTGGAGTACAACGGCATGATCTCAGCTTGCTGCAACCTCCACCTCCCAGGTTCAAGCGATTCTCCTGCCTCAGCCTCCTGTGTAGCTGGGACTACAGGCTCATGCCACCATGCCCAGCTAATTTTTGTATTTTTAGTAGAGACAGGGTTCACCATATTGGCCAGGCTGGTCTTGAACCCCTGACCTCAGGTGATCCACCAACTCAGCCTCCCAAGGTGCTAGGATCACAGGCATGAGCCACTGTACCCAGCCTGTCTGCCATTTTTCTACATACTATTTCCTTTTTCTTATCTGTTCCAGCCACTTTGGCCTTCGATCATCTTCAGCATACCAAACTCTTTCCCACCTTAGAGTTTTTGCATAACTTCTCTTTCTGACTACACTTCTTTCTCCCCTAGCTCTTTGCATAACTGGTTTCTTCTTGTCATTCACCTTAAATGCCCTCCTTGAGCACCTTTTCCAAAGTAACAGCCCCATCACTGCCTATCATAGAACATTATTTTACTTTCTCATTCCTATGACTGTCCTAGGTTGGTACTGTCCTCAGCAGAATAGCTGCTCCTCCATGAGGTCACTCAGGACCCCAGGCCAATAGCTGCTCTGCTATCATCATGTGACTTCTAAAGTCACCCTAGGAGACCGCATCCTAATCATCCAAAAGGGTAAAGGGCCTGGAGAAACACATGGGACAAGTTTTCATGGGCTAGGCCTGGAAGCAGCACACATCACTTCTACTCACATTCTAATTATGGGGGTAGTGGGCAGAGAACAAACAAAAATAAACACTAAGGAGGTTTTCAAGTAGCTCTGTGTGCAAAAAAGGGGTCTGATTTTTGGTAGAGAGCTAGTAATCTCTGACTCAGGAAAAATAGGTCTAGGTACTTGAAACATACTTTGGAAACATTGCTGGCAATATTTGGGTAACTTAGAAGCGAAAGGAAATGTTCAAATAGGATCTCAGTTTGGTTAGGAAAATGCCAGCTGCCGAAGCCCCAAATCCCCCACGTCTTAGCACAATTAAATTAGACACACGCCTGTAGTCCCAGCTACTCAAGAGGCTGAGGCAGGAGAATGGCGTGAACCCGGGAGGCGGAGCTTGCAGTGAGCTGAGATTGCACCACTGCACTCCAGCCTGGGTGACAGAGCGAGACTCTGTCTCAAAAAACAAAACAAACAAACAAACAAAAAAATAGAAGTCAGCTTTCTCCCACCTTGAGATCCACAAATCCTTAGAGCTCCAGAATCCTCTTCCCCTACCTGTGGATAAAAGCCTATCCTCTTCTTAAAAGTTCCAATCCAGAAATAAATTACGCATTACTTCCACTCACATTCTATTAATGAAAACTGGTCATATGGCTACACATGGATACAAGGGAGGCTGGGAAATGTAGTCCCTGACTGGGGAGCCTTCTTCCACTGACAACTCCACACCAGGGAAGGGGAATGAATTTTGTTGCACCACTAGCCTTCTCTACTATAGTTAAACTCCCCAAAACAGGGCCTATTTATTTCCAACATAGACCCGGTTGCTGGAATCTTTACTAAATAAACTGTTTTGAACACAGTATCTATCATCTTGCCTCCTGTTACATTTGTACAAATCAAATTTTGCTTTAGAACGCAGGATGTACATATAAATATGTCACTTGCTTGCTTAAAATCCTTGAATGAATCCCAGTGCTCTTCAAGTAAAATGCAATCTCCTTACCATGGCCTACAATGTCCTATGGGTTCTACCTCCTGCTGACTCCTGCAACTTAAACTCCTACCATTTTCCATTCTTATTTCTGTGCTCTGACCACACTGAGCTCCTTTTAAGTTCTTGAGTGCTCTTTTCCCACTACCAGAACTTCCCATGTGTTATTCAAGAATGCTTTCCCCCAACTCTCCTCATGGTTAATTATTTTTTTGCTTCAAGCTTAAGCCCACTGGTCACAAGCTCTTCAGAAAGGCCTTCACTGGCCAGCTCTCTAATGGAGCCTTCCACGGCTCCTTTCCATTCCATCCCCTTGTTATTTTTTCACAGCAGATGTGTCAATCTGTAATAATATTGTTTGAAAGTCTCTTTGTTCACTGTCATTCTCCTTACTTGAATATAATTTCCATGAAGGCAAGGAGCCCTTCTGTCTTATCACTATCATAACCCTATTGTTTAACGTTATGCCCAGCATTCAATAAATATCTGAGGAGTGAATGAATAAATGTATCTAGTTGAATCCAATCATATACCTTGGGTGGATTACTTCATCATGACAACTAAAGAAAACGTTAGAGAACCTGACTCTCTGGCAGGAGCTCAGCAGTGCCATCAGTGTAAAGGAAGAGAAAACGAGGCCTATGCCACTATACACTGACACCTCCCTGGCACTGGATATCAGATAATTAAAGAGAATCCATTGGCCAATAATGGGTTTTTGACTTTCTAAAATTTCCATAGAGTTATCCACAGTGCACAGGCTTATTATAAAGAAAACATATCAGAGATTGCAGAAGTAGTGATTAGGTGGGGTCCAGGGAGATCTGAGTGTTCACCTGTCACAGCAGCTCAAAACCAATGAGTTCTTCTGCCAACTCTGCATTCATTGGACAGGCTTGCATTAACCTGCTCTGTAAAAGGGAAAAATTAAAAGTAAGCTTCTTCTGGGGACACAGAGAAAAATGTAAATGTAAGGGCCTGGTAGTGGGGGATAGAAATAAAAGGAGGTTGATAAACAGGGACAAAAAAATGTTGGCAGCCAAAAAAGGTGCTGTATATTAGCTACTATGATGTAAAACGGCCCAGTAGAGATCAGTGTAACATCTGCCTTGGTCATTTTTTGCATGTCTACATATTCATGCCCAGCTTTCAGAATTCTCTGGAGACACTCGAGTATATAGGAAGATGAGTTCCAATGAGCTGCAGCCTCCTGCTTTGCTGAAGGGATATAAAAAAAAAAAATCTTGCTTTCTTGATTCAACTTCAGTCTCAAGCATTTCTGAGCCCTTACTAATGAATGCAGATTTTAAGTACATATGAAAGAAAAAATGAAAGATAAAGAATATACATAAGTTTAATGAATATACGCAGACTGTGTCAGGTCTACATGATATAGGTATCATGAGCCTTGGACTCAGAAGGACTTGGACTCAAATCCTGACTCCACCTCATATGAGCTATGTGGGAAAGTCATCTACACTGAACTTTAGTGTAAAATAAGCAGATATATAATGCTGTGAGGATGAACTAATATCTGTGAAATAATGGACATGGAATAAGTACTCAATAAATGATATGTGTTTATTATTCAAAACAATTCAAGCACTCATCAAGTTGTTTTTCTCCATACCAAGTTGTTTAGGGGATTTGCCTCAATTATTGGGACAACTATTATTAGTTCTGTCCTTGACCTTAGCTTTGGTCAACACAACCACAGGCCTTTGTCATAGAACAGTACACTGGTCTGATAAACCACTTCCACCTCACCAAGCTTCTGTTTATACTGTTCCTCTGTCTATCCTATGCACTGCCTTAACTCCCACTTTTTCTTTTATCAAAATCTTCCTTATCTTCCAAAATCTACCTCAAAGCCAATGTTGTAGTACAGCTTTGCTGGCTACTCCCAGTTCTTTGATCGACTTCTCCTCTGCATCCATTTTTTCACTTATTCATGTGTTCCATAAACAATACTGACAACCCACTAGATGCCAGGGAATTTGATAGATACTTGGAAAATAAAGATGAATAAGACATAATGCTTATTGTCCTAGTCTAGCAAGGAAGACTAAGAACTGGACAGATTATTGCATTCAAGCATAATACATGCAATAAAGGTCTTCATATGGGATTTGGGAGCCCACAGGAGAGGCTCTTATCCAATAGTAGTTGCTTACACCTCTGGTTCACAGTTACTTTGATTTATTTGCATCATAATTTATTGCTAAATAACCATCTTGCATGTTACATTATGAACTCCTCGAGGACAGATGCTGTCTTATTTGTCTTTGTGTTCCTCTGAAGTCTTGCACAATGTGTTACAAATAATATGTGTCCAATAAATGTGTGTGGGTGAACTGAAGCCATCATCAATGAACACTTGTTAATAGCTTGGTCTGTCTTGAAGGATTCATACTCTATAAAAGGCAGTATACATATACAGCACAGCAGCTATAATAGCTAGGATATTCAAGCTAGATAGACTGAATTCAAACCCCCATCTCAGTCTTTACTAAGTGCTTGCATTAAGCAAAGTACTTTATCTCCCTGTGTCTCAATTTCTTCTTCTATTAAAAGGAAATGATAATAATAGTATCTACCACATACAGTTCTACCCCCTTATCTATGGAGGATATGTCCCAAGGTCCCCAGCGGATGCCTGAAACTGCGATCACACCAAACCCTATATATACAGTCATATGTTGCTTAATGACAGGCATATGTCCTGAAAAATGCATGATTAAGCAACTTTGTCATTGTGCAAATATCACAGTCTATACTTACCAAACCTAAATGGTATAGTCTACTACACACCTAAGCTATATAGCACAGCCTATTGGTCTCAGGCTACAAATCTGTATAGCATGTTACTGTAGGGAATTGTAACACAATGATAAATATTTATGTATCTAAATATATCTAAACAAAGAAAAAAATGCATTGTGCTTATATCTCTAGGTGGTAGAAATTTTTCAGCCGCATTATAATCCTATGGGAGCAATGTCATATATGTGGTCCATTACTGATCAAAACTTTGTTATGGGGTACATAACTGTACTGTTTCTTTTCATCTGATAACTGAGACAGCTACTAAGTGACTAACAAGCAGGTAGCATATACAGCATGGTTATGCTGAACAAAGGGCTGATTCATGTCCTAAGAGAGATGGAGCAGGACAGAGCAGGGGTTTATCACATTACTCAGAATGGTGTGCAATTTAAAACTGATGAGTTATTTATTTCTGAAATTTTTCATTTAACACTTTTGGACCCTGGTTGGCCACGGGTAACTGAAACAGGGTAAGGGAGGACTACTGTACATTGCTATTAAAATTAAGTCAATTGGTATACTCATTAAAAATTATTTAGAAAAGTGCCTTAATGGTAGCTATTTAGGTAACCATTTAGGATACTTAGTGGCCTTCACTTCTGTAGAACAGAGACTACTCCAGACTGAGTTTAAATTCCATAGATAAAACACAGTTTCAAGTCTGGCTGCAATGCCAGTCTATTACAAATCCAGAAAACTGCTGACTTACAACTTTTTACAACCCATACCTCCACCTTTTCTGACCACACTAGATAATATGATGCCATCTTGGGAAAGTTCAATTTGAAATCATTACTTCTATTCATTCACTATATCAATGTGAAAAACCTCAATACAAATAATAAATAAAATATAGCTCTGTACTATGCTTCTATTATGTGTCATGTAGTTTACATATATTATTTCCAATCTTTAGAACAAACTCAAGATAGATATTATTGTATCCATTCTATAGATGATAAAATTGAGGCTCAGGCAGATCATGTTACTCACCCAAAGGTCCCATTATGGCCAAGTAGCTTGACACTCTCTAGCACAAGAATCTTATCCCAGTCCTTTCACTCCTGACATTAGATTCTAACTAGGTTTAGTTTGTTCTTGACTTCATTATCCTTGATCTGCTTATTCAGCACCACTGAAGAAGACAAAAGCTCCAGAGAGAAGTAGAAATTAAATTTGATTAGGAAAATACTTTGCCTTATAATTTCAACAATTTAGTGTGAGTCAAGTGGAGACAGGATTTCAGTCATCTGATCCCAGTCCCATCTTTCAGACAGTTCTATAGAAAAGTTGACTGACATATGGCTGCTGCTCCTATTTTCTAAGATTTGTAGGCATACACATTTCAGGGCCTCTGTTTGTGAATTTCAATATTTAGGAGCCCTTAAACCGAGTTTATCCTTTTTTATATATTCAAACTCTTTGCATACTCAAGTCATTAGCTTTTATTCTGTCCACTACAGATTTAGAGAACAGCTGGTCATTGCCATCTTTATAGTTACGCTTCATATGATCTAAAGCAGCACTGTCCAAGAGAAATATACTGTGAGCCACATATGTAATTTTAAATTAACTAGTAGTCACATTTTTTAAAAAGTAAAATTAATTAGGTTAACTTTAATAATGTATTCATTTCCTGCAACAAATCACCACAAACTTGGGGGCTTAAGACAACAACATATGGATTAACTTGGAGTTCTGGAAGCCAGAAGTCCAAAATCAGTACCACTATGCTGAAATCAAAATGTCAGCAGGACTGCACTTTATCTCCAGAAGCTCTAGGGAGGATCGTTCCTTGCCTCTTCCAGCTTCTGATGGCTGCTGTCATTTCTTGGCTTGTGGCCACATCACTCATTTCTGCCTCCATCTTCACATCACTTTCTTCTCCATATATGTGTCTGACTCCCTCTACCTTCCTCTTCTAAGGATACATGTGACTGCACTTAGGGCCCACTTGGATAATCCAGAATCATCTCCCTATCTCAAGATCCTTTAATCATATTTGTAAAATTAATTAATTTTGATCATATCTGCAAAAATTCTTTTTCTAAGTAGGGTAACAGTTTAAGTTCCAATGATTAAAATCTGATATCTTTAGGGGTCATTATTCAAACTACTACAAATAATATATTTTATTTGACCCAATATATCCAAGATGTTATTTCAGTTTGTAATCAACATTCTATAATAACTTTTCTAAATCTAGGTGCCTTTTGATGCTTACAACAAATCTCAATTAGAATCAGTCACATCTCAAGATAGAGAGCAACAAAATAATTGTGGGGGACTTCAATACTGAAAGCACTAGTTAGATCATCAAGACGGAAAGTCAATGAAGAAACAGTGGACTTAAACTATACCCTAGAACAAATGAACTTAATAGATATTTACAGAACCTTCTTCCCAACAACTGCAGAATATACATTCTTTTCATCAGCACATGGAACATTCTCCAAGATAGACCATATTATAGCCACAAAATGAGTCTCAATAAATTTAAGAAAATTGAAATCATATCAAGTATCTTCTCAGACTACAATGGAATAAAACTGGAAATCAATTTCAAAAAGAACTCTCAAAACTATACAAATACATGGAAATGAAATAATCTGCTCTGGAATAATTTTGGGGTTAGTGAAATCAAGATGGAAATTTTAAAATTCCTTGAAATGAATACCAGTGACACAACTTCTCAAAACCACTGAGATGCAGTAAAAGTGGTGCTAAGAGGAAAGCTCGTAGCATTAAATGCCTACATCAAAAAGCCTGAAAAAGCACAAATAGACAACCTAATGTCACACCTCAAGCAACTGGATAAACAAGAACAATCCAAACCTAAACCCAACAGAAGAAAAGAAATAACAATGATCAGAGAAGAACTAAACGAAATTGAAAAAAAATACAAAAGGTAAATGAAACAAAAAGCCGGTTTTTTGAAAAGGTAAACTAAGTTGATAGATATTAGTGAGATAAACCAAAAAAAAAAAAAAAAAAAAAAAAAAGAAGATAGAAGATACAAATAAGCTCAATTAGAAATGAAACTGGAGGAAGGGGCTGGCAAGATGGCTAAATAAGAACAGCACCCCTCTGCAGTTCCCAGTGAGACCAACGCAGAAGGAGGTGATTTCTGCATTTACAACTAAGGTACCTGGTTCATCTCACTGGGACTGGTTAGACAGTGCATGCAGCCCATGGAGGGCCAGCAGAAGCAGGATGGAGCATCACCTCACCCAGGAAGCACAACAGGTCAGGGAACTCCCTCCCCTGGCCAAGGGAAGCCATGAGGGATGGTGCTATCCAGCCCAGATACTACACTTTTCCCATGGTCTTTGCAACCTGCAGACCAGGAGACTCCCTCAGGGGCCCACACCAGTAGGGCCCTGGATTTCAAGCACAAAACTGGACAGCCATTTGGGCAGACACCAAGCTAGCTGTAGGAGTTTTGTTTTGTGCCCCAGTGGCACCTGTAACACCAGTGAGACAGAACTGTTCACTCCCCTGGAAAGGAGACTGAAGCCAGGGAGCCGAGTGGTCTTGCTCAGTGGATCCTATCCCCACAGAGCCCAACAAGCTAACATACATTGGATTGAAATTCTCACTGCCAGCACAGCAGTCTGAAGTCAACCTGGGATGCTTGAGCTTGGTGGGGGGGAGGAGCGACTGCCACTACAGAGGCTTGAGTAGGTGGTTTTCCACTTATAGTGTAAACATAGCTGCTGGGAAGTTCGAACTGGGTGCAGAACCTACTGCAGTGTAGCAAAGTCGCTGTGGCCAGATTGCCTTTCTAGATTCCTCCTCTCTGGACAGGGCATCTCTGAAAGAAAGGGAGCAGCCCCAGTCAGGGGCTTATAGATAAAACTCCCATTTCCCTGGAACAGAGCACCTAGGGGCAGGGGCAGATGTGGACGCAGCTTCGGCAGACTTAAACATTCCCACCTGCTGGCTCTGAAGAGAGCAGCAGATCACCCAGTACAGTGCTCGAGTTCTGCTAAGGGACAGACTGCCTCCTCAAGTGGGTTCCTGACCCCTATGCCTCCTGACTAGGAGACACCTCTCAGCAGGGGACAACAGGCACCTCATACAGAAGAGGTTTGGCTGGCATCTGGTGGGTGCCCCTCTGGGATGAAGCTTCCAGAGGAAGGAACAAGCAGCAATCTTTGCTGGTCTGCAGCCTCCACTGGTGATACCCAGGCAAACAGGGTCGGAGTAGACCTCCAGCAAACTCTAGCAGACCTGCAGCAGAGGGGCCTGTTAGAAGGAAAACTAACAAAAAAAAAAAAGCAATAGCATCAACATAAAGAAAAAGGACACCCATGCGAAAATGCCATCTGAAGGTCACCCACATCAAAGATCAAAGGTAGATAAATCCACAAAGATGAGGAAAAACCAGTGCAAAAAGGCTGAGAAGTCCAAAAACTAGAAAGCCTCTTCTCCTCCAAAACATCACAACTCTTCGCCAGCAAGGAAACAAAACCGGACAGAGAATGAATTTGACAAATTGACAGAGTAGACTTCAGAAAGTGGGTAATAACAAACTACTTCAAGCTAAAAGAGTATGTTCTAGCCCAAAGCAAGAAAGCTAAGAACGTTGATAAAAGATTACGGGAACTGCTAACTAGAATAACCAGTTCAGAGAAGAACATAAATGACCTGATGGAGCTGAAAAACACAGCACAAGAACTTCATGAAGCACACACAAGTATCAATAGCCAAATCAATCAAGCAGAAAAAGATATCAGAGATTGAAGATCAACTTACTGAAATAATGCATGAAGACAAGATTAGAGCGAAAAAGGATGAAAAGGAACGAATAAAGCCTCCAAGAAATATGGGACTATGTGAAAAGACCAAAGTGAAGTTTGATTGGTGTACGTGAAAGTGACAAGGAGAATGGAACCAAGTTGGAAAACACTTTTCAGAATATTATCTAGGAGAACTTCCCCAGCCTAGCAAGACAGGCAAAAATTCAAATTCAGGAAATAAAGAGAACATCACAAAGATACTCCTCGAGACGAGCAACCCCAAGACACAAAATCATCAGATTCACCAAGGTTGAAATGAAGGAAAAAATGTTAAGGGCAGCCAGAGACAAAGGTTGGGTTACCCACAAAGGGAAGCCCATCAGACTAACAGCGGATCTCTCTGCAGAAACCCTACAAGCCAGAAGAGAATGGGGGCCAACATTCAACATTCTTAAAGAAAAGCATTTTTAATCCAGAATTTCATATCCAGCAAAACTAATCTTCATAAGCAAAGGAGAAATAAAATCCTTTACAGAGAAGCAAATGCTGAGAGATTTTGGCACCATCAGGCCTGCCTTACAAGAGTTCCTGAAGGAAGCACTAAATATGGAAAGGAACAACCAGTACCAGCCACTGCAAAAACATGCCACATTGTAAAGACTATTGACACCATGAAGAAACTGCATCAACTAACGGGCAAAATAACCAGCTAGCATCATAATGACAGGATCAAATTAACACATAACAATATTAACCTTAAATGTAAACTGGCTAAATGCCCCAATTAAAAGACACAAACTGGTAAATAGGATAAAGAGTCAAGACCCCTCAGTGTGCTGTATTCAGGAGACCCATCTCATGTGCAAAGACACACATAGGCTCAAAACAAAGGGATGGAGGAATATTTACCAATCAAATGGAAAGCAAAAAAAAAAAAAAAAAAAAAAAGCAGGGGTTGCAATACTAGTCTCCGATAAAACAGACTTTAAACCAACAAAGATCAAAAAAGACAAAGAAGGGCATTACATAATGGTAAAGGGATTATCGCAACGAGAAGAGCTAACTATTCTAAATATACATGTACCCAATACATGAGCACCCAGATTCATAAAGCAACTTCTTACAGACCCACAAAGAGACGTAGACTCCCACAGAATCATAGTGGGAGACTTTAACACCCCACTGTCAATATTAGACAGATTAATGAGACAGAAAATTAAGAAGGATATTCAGGACTTGAAGTCAGCTCTGGACCCAGCAGACTGAATAAACATCTATAGAACTCTCCATCCCAAATCAGCAGGATACACATTCTTCTCAGAACCACATCTCACTTATTCTAAAATTGACCACATAATTGGAAGTAAAACATGCCTCAGCAAATGCAAAAGAATGGAAATCATAACAGTCTCTCAGACCACAGTGCAATCAAATTAGAACTCAGGATTAAGAAACTCACTCAAAACTGCACAACTATGCGGAAACTGAAAAACCAGCTCTTGAATGAATACTGGGTAAATAACAAAATTAAGGCAAAAATAAATAAGTTCTTTGAAACCAATGAGAACAAAGATACAATGTACCAGAATCTGTGGGACACAGCTAAAGCAGTGTTTAGAGGGAAATTTATAACACTAAATGCCCACAGGAGAAAGTGAGAAAGATCTAAAATCAACACATTAACATCACAATTAAAAGAACTAGAGAAGCTAGAGTAAACAAATTCAAAAGCTAGCAGAAGGCAAGAAATAACTAAGATCAGAGCAGAACTGAAGGAGACAGAGACACAAAAAATCCTTCAAAAAATCAATGAATCCAGGAACTGATTTTTTGAAAAGATTAACAAAATAGATAGACTGCTAGCCAGACTAAAAAAGAAGAAAAGAGAGAAGAATCAAATAGACACAATAAAAAAATGATAAAGGCGAGATCACCCCGATCCCACAGAAATACAAACTACCATCAGAGAATACTATAAACACCTCTATGCAAATAAACTAGAAAATCTAGAAGAAATGGATAAATTCCTGGATGCATACACCCTCCCCCCAATATTTCAATGTAGGTTCTTTCTATTTTCCCTGAGTTTTGGCCAGTCTGAGAAATAAAGAGAAAGAGAGAAATTTTACAGCTGGGTCTCCAGGAGTGTCATCACATATGTAGGACTGTGATGGTGACCTCAAACAGCAAAACCAGCAAGTTTTTATTAGGGATTTTAAAAGGGGAGGGGGTGTATGAACAGGGAGTAGGTCACAAGGATCACATGCTTCAAAGGACAATAAAGATCACAAGGCAAGGCAAAATTAGAATTACTGATGAGGGCCTATGTCCGGTTGTGCACACATTGTCTTGATAAACATCTTAACAGAAAACAGGGTTTGAGAGCCGACAACCGGTCTGACTAGAATTTACCAGGCTGGAATTTCCCAATCCTATTAAGCCTGAGGGTACTGCAGGAGACCAGGGCATATTTCAGTCCTTATCTCAAACTCATAAGACAGACACTCCCAGAGTGGCCATCTATAGATCTACCCCCAGGAACGCATTCCTTCCCCAGGGTCTCAATTATTAATATTCCTTGCTAGGAAAATAATTCAGCAATATTTCTCCTACTCGCATATCTGTCTATAGGCTTTCTGCAAGAAGAAAAATATGGCTCTATTCTGCCTGACCCCACAGGCAGTCAGACCTCATGGTTATCTTTCCTTGTTCCCTGAAAATTGCTGTTATTCTGTTCTTTTTCAGGGTGCACTGATTTCATATTGTTCAAACACATGTTTTACAAACAATTTGTACAGTTAACACAACCAACACAGGGTCCTGGTGACATACAACCTCAGTTTACGAAGATGATGGGATTAAGAGATTAAAGTAAAGACAGGCATAAAAAATTATAAGAGTATTAATTTTGGGAACTGATAAATGTCCATGAAATCTTCACAATTTATGTTCTTCTGCCAAAGCTTCAGCCAGTCCCTCTGTTCAGGGTCCCTGACTTCCTGCAACACCTCCCAAGACTAAACCAGGAAGAAGTCAAATCCCCGAATAGACCAATAACAAGTTCTGAAATTAAGGCAGTAATTCACAGTCTACCAACCAAAAAAAGCCTAGGACAAGACTGATTCACAGCCGAATTCTACCAGAGATACGAAGAGGAGCTGGTACCATTCCTTCTAAAATTATTCCAAACAATAGGAAAAGAGGGAATCCACCCTAACTCATTTCATGAGGCCAGCAACATCCTGATACCAAAACCTGGCAGAGACACAACAGAACAAGAAAATTTCAGGCCAATATCGCTGATGAACATCGATGTGAAAATTCTCAATAAAATACTGACAAATCAAATCCAGCAGCACATCAAAAAGCTTATCCACCATGATGAAGATGGCTTCATCCCTGGTATGCAAGGCTGGTTCGACATATGCAAATCGATAAATGTAATCAATCACATGAACAGAACCAATGACAAAAAACACATGATTATCTCAATAGATGCAGAAAAGGCCTTCAAAAATATTCAACGCCCCTTCATGCTAAAAACACTCAATAAACTAGGTATTGATGGAACATATTTCAAAATAATAAAAGCTATTGATGACATACCCACAGCCAGTATCATACTGAACAGGCAAAAGCCTGAATCATCCCCTTTGAAAACTGGCACAAGACAAGAATGCCCTCTCTCACCACTCCTATTCAACATAGTATTGGAAGTTCTGGCCAGGGCAATCAGGCAGGAGAAAGAAATGAATGGTATTCAAATAGGAAGAGAAGAAGTCAAATTCTCTCCGTTTGCAGATGATATGATTGTATATTTAGAAAACACCATCGTCTCAGCCCAAAATCTCCTTAAGCTGATAAGCAACTTCAGCAAAGTCTCAGGATACAAAATCAATGTGCAAAAATCACAAGCATTCCTATACACCAATAATAGAAAAACGGAGAGCCAAATCATGAGTGAACTCCCATTCACAATTGCCACAAAGAGAATAAAATACCTAGGAATACAACTTACAAGAGATGTGAAGGATCTCTTCAAGGAGAACTACAAACCACTGCTCAAGGAAATAAGAGAGGACACAAACAAATGGAAAAACATTCCATGTTCATGGATAGGAAGAATCAATATTGTGAAAATGGCCATACTGCCCAAAGTAATGTATTGATTCAATGCTATTCCCTTTAAGCTACCATCAACTTTCTTCACAGAATTAGAAAAACTGCTTTAAGTTTTATGTGAAACCAAAAAGAGCCTATATAGCCAGGACAATCCTAAGCAAAAAGAAGAAAGCTGGAGACATCACGCTACCTGACTTCAAACTATACTACAAGGCTACAGTAACCAAAACAGCACGGTACTGGTACCAAAACATATATATAGACCAATGGAACAGAATAGAGGCCTCAGAAATAACACCACACATCTACAACCATCTGATCTTTGACAAACCCGGCAAAAACAAGCAATGGGGACAGGATTCCCTATTTAATAAATGGTGTTGGGAAAACTGGCTAGCCATATGCAGAAAAGTGAAACTGGACCCCTTCCTTACACCTTATACAAAAATTGACTCAAGATGGATTAAAGACTTAAACATGAGACTTAAAACCATAAAAACCCTGGAAGAAAACCTAGGCAATACCATTCAGGATATAGGCATGGGCAAAGACTTCATGACTAAAACACCAAAAGCGATGGCAACAAAAGCCAAAATAGACAAATGGGATCTAATTAAACTAAAGAGCTTCTGCACAGCAAAAGAAACTATCATCAGAGTTAACAGGCAACCTACGGAATGGGAGGAAATTTTTGCAAGCTACCCATCTGACAAAGGACTAATATTCAGAATCTACAAGGAACTTTAACAAATTTACAAGAAAAAAACAAATAACCCCACCAAAAATTGGGCAAAGGAGATGAACAGACACCTCTCAAAAGAAGACATTTATATGGCCAACAAACATTAAAAAAAAGCTCATCATCACTGGTC
This sequence comes from Homo sapiens, assembly GCF_000001405.40. Classification (NCBI taxonomy): domain Eukaryota; kingdom Metazoa; phylum Chordata; class Mammalia; order Primates; family Hominidae; genus Homo; species Homo sapiens. The sequence goes on from NC_000004.12 coordinate 84,209,013, forward strand.
GTTAGAGAAATCCAAATCAAAACTGCAAGGAGATACCATCTCATGGCAGCTAGAATGGCGATCTTTAAAAAGTCAGGAAACAACAAATGCTGGAGAGGACATGGAGAAATAGGAATGCTTTTACACTGTTGATGGGAATGAAATTAGTTCAACCATTGAGGAAGACAGTGTGGCAATTCCTCAAGGATCTAGAACCAGAAATATCATTTGACCCAGCAATCCCATTACCGGGTATATATCCAAAGGATTATAAAATAATTCTACTGTAAAGACACATGCACACCTATGTTTATTGCAGCACTATTCACGATAGCAAAGACTTGGAACCAACCCAAATGCCCATCAATTATAGACTGGATAAAGAAAATGTGGCACATATACACAATGGAATACTATGCAGCCATAAAAAACGATGAGTTCATGTCCTTTGCAGGGACATGGATGAAGCTGGAAACCATCATCCTCAGAAAACTAACACAGGGACAAGAAATCAAACACCACATTTTCTCACTCATAAGTAGGAGTTGAACGATGAAAACACAAGGGCACAGGGAGCGGAATATCACACACTGGGGCCTGTCAGTGGTTGCGGACAAGGGGAGGGATAGCATTAGAAGAAATATCTAATGTAGATAACATGTTGATGGGTACAGCAAACCACCATGACACAATAATGCCTATGTAACAAACCTGCACGTTCTGCACTCTGTATCCCAGAAATTAAAGTATAATAAAAAATAAAGAAATGAAACTGGAGATATTAAAGCTACATCTCAGAAATACAAAAGATCATTCAAGTCTACTATGAAGGCCTTATGCACAAAACTAGAAAATCTAGAGGAGATGGATGAATTCCTGGAATTATACAAGCCTCCTAGATTAAATCAGCAAGAAATAGAAACCCTGAACGAACCAATAACCAGAAGTGACACCACATCAATAATAAAAAAAATTTGCCAACAAAAAAACACCCAAGACCAGATGTATTCACAGCTGAATTCTATCAAACATTCAAAGAAGAATTGGTACTTCTTAATGATACTTTTCCAAAAGTTACAAAAGGAGGGAATCCACCCTAAATCTTTCTATGAAGCCCGTATCACCCTAATACCAAAACCAGGAAAGGACTTAACAATGAAAGAAAACTATACAACAATATCTCTGATGAACATAGATGCAAAAATCCTTAACAAAATACTAGCTAACCAAATCCAACAGCATATCAAAAAGATAATACATCATGATCAAGTGGTTTCCATACCAGGGATACAGGGATGGTTTAACATTTGCAAGTCAATAAATGTGATGCATCACATAAACAGAATTAAAAACAAAAATCATATGATCATCTTAATAGATGCAAAAAAGCATTTGATAAGATCCAGCATCCTTTTATGATAAAATCCTTCAACAAAACAGGCATAGAAGGGACATGCCTCAAAGTAATTAAAGCCATATATGACAAACCCACAGCCAGCATCATACTGAATGGGGAAGAGTTGAAAGCATTACCCCTGAAAACTGGAACAAGACAAGGATGCACACTTTCACCACTTTTATTCAAATAGTACTGGAAGTCCTAGCCAAAGCAATCAGACAAGCGAAAGAAATAAAGGGCATCCAAATTCGAAAAGAGGACATCAAACTGTTGTTGTTCACCAATGATATGATTGTATACCTAGAAAACCCTAAAGACTCATCCAAAAAGCTCCTAGATCTGACAAACAAATTCAGTACCAATGAAACAGAATAGACAACCCAGAAATAAAGCCGAATACTTCTATCTAACTGATCTTTGACAAAGCATACAAAAACATAAATTGAGGAATGGACACCCTATTCAATAATTGGTGTTGGGAAAACTGGCAAGCCACATGTAGAAGAATGAAACTGGATTCTAATCTCTCACTATATACAAAAATCACCTCGAAATGAATCAAAAACTTAAATCTAAAACCTGAAACCATAAAAAATAGAAGATAACATTGCAAATACTCTTCTAGACTTTGGCTTAGGCAAAGAATTCATGACTAAGGCCCCAAAAGCAAATGCAACAAAAACAAAAATAAATAAATGGGACCTAATTAAACTAAAAAGCTTCTGCACAGCAAAAGAAATAATCATCAGAGTAAACAGACAACTCACAGAGTAGGAGAAAATATTTGCACATTATGCATCCAACAAAGGACTAATATCTAGAATCTATAAGGAACTCAAACAAATTAGCAAGAAAAAAGCCAATAATCCCACCAAAAAGTGGGCAAAGGACATGAATAGACAATTGTTTTAAAAGATATACAAATGGCCAAAAAACTTATGAAACAATGCTCAATATCACTAACTATCAGAAAAATACAAATTAAAACCACAGTGGGATACCACCTTATCCCTGCAAGAATGGCCATAATTAAAGTCAAAAAATAATAGATGTTGGTGTGGATGTGGTGAAAAGGGAACACCTTTACACTTCTGGTGGAAATGTAAAGTAGTGCAACCACTATGAAAAACAGTAGGGAGATACTTTAAAGAACTAAAAGCAGAACTGCCATTTGATCCAGCAATCCCACTACTGGGTATCTACCCAAAGGAAAAGAAGTCATTATATGAAAAAGGCATACGCACGTGCATGTTTATAGTAGCACAATTTACAATTGCAAAAATATGGAACCAACCTAAGTGCCCATCAACCAACAAGTGGATAAAGAAAAAGTGATATAGACACACAACACGGAATACTACTCAGCCATAAAAGGAGAGAGGCAGAGGTTGCAGTGAGCTGAGATTGCGCCACTGCACTCCAGCCTCGGCAACAGAATGAGACCCTATCTCAAAAAATAAAAAGAAAGAAAAAAAAGAATTAGCCACATTTCAAGTTCAATAGCCACATGTGAATAGTTTAGAAAGGAATGCTTTAGTTTCTCATCAGCAATTTTCTCTTCTTGCTCAGAAGCAAAGTAGCTTCCATTAATTTCCTCAATAAAGGTGTTCTCATTCAATTATTTTTCTTGTTATCATCATGGGTATAATTCCCATCTTCCTGCCTCATCGGATTGCTGTGAGGATTAACATAAGAAAACCCTTTGGAAAATGTGACTTATTGTATGGTTCCTTCAAAAGGCATCCAAATTTATTGCCAAAGTGTTGTGCTCAGTATCCTATAGTCCTATGTTTGCTCATACACTTCGTGTAACTGGAACCTACAACGAAATCACACAAATGAAGGAATGGGGTCCCTCTGCAGACTAGAGTTGGGAGCTTGAGCAGTACAACTGGTCATGGATAAAGAAATATGAGGGAGACAGGATCAATGTTTAGAGAACCATTGAAAAGAAATATCCTCATTTCTGCATGAAAAATACTCATTCACTCATTCAACAAATTTACCACATCATAGGCACAATATTAGGTGTGGGGAATGCAACGCTCAATGGTAAGAAAAAATAGATAATATCCACCTCAGGGCTTAGAGTTTAGAGAGAAGGTAGAGATGAATAAAAAGGAAAACTACAACTGTGAACATTTCTACCAAGGAGCAGAAGATGGTTCTCTGAAGGAGAGTTTGACCTTGTCAGGGAGGTTGGAGAGGGTATCCTTTAAGAAATATTAATTGAACTGAGTGATATGGTTTCGCTGTGTCCCCATCCAAATCTCATCTTGAATTGTAGTTCCCATAATTCCCACGTGTCATGGGAGGGACCCAGTGTGAGGTAATTGAATCATGGGGGCAGGTCTTTTCCATGCTGTTCTCATGATAGTAAATAAGTCTCACAAGATCTGATGGTTCCCCTTGCATACACCATCTTGCCTGTTGCCATGTAAGACTTGACTTTTCTCCTCATGCACCTTCAGCCATGGTTGTGAGGCCTCCCCAGCCATGTGGAACTGTGAGTCTATTACTTCTTTCCTTTATAAATTACCCAGTCTCAGGTATGTCTTTATTAGCAGCATGAGAACAGACTAATACACTGAGATATGAAGCATAAGTAATAATTAACTCAGTGAAGAGGAGAGAAGAACATATTGCAGGCATGAGAAACTCATGCACAAAGACCCTTCTGTGGGAGGAATTATGACAGTAATATGGACAAAAACCAGGATGACTGGAGTACAGAGAATGAACAGAGAGGACCAGGCACATGTGAAACCAGAGAGGGAGGAGGATCTCAATTATGTAGGCCACGTAAGAGAGTTCTATCTTTTTTTTTAAGTAAATAATAATCCACTGTGCTTTGGAAAGATCATTCTGTTGAAGTGTAAAGAACAGATTGGTAAGGAGACAACAGTAGATACTGGTGAAACTATGAGGGGGCTGTTACAGGAGTCTTGGCAAAAGAAGATGGCATGGAGTAGATATGAAGTCATCCTTGATTCCTCTTTTTCTTTCATATCCCACAACTAATCCATTAAAAAACCTCGTTGACTGAATACAAATGACCCTTTTCACACCCATTATGTTAAACTGAAACCCAAGCCACCATAATTTCTCCTCTGGACTATATCAACTGTCTTATCCTGTCTCTCTGCTTCCAATATTGATCCTATAGTTTATTCTACACATGGAAGCCAAAGGGATCCTTCTATAAAGTAAGTCAAACCACATTATTCACCAGCTCAACATCCATCAATGGCTTCCCATCTCACTCAGAATGAAAGCCCACATCTTTCAAGGTGCTCTATGATCTGGCCCCTACCAAATCTGATCCCATCTCCTCTCACCCTCTCCTTTGCCACAATGGTCAGCTTTAAACAAACCAAGCATGACCTAACCGCAGGCCTTGGAACTTGCCATACCCTCTGCCTGAAATACTTTTCTCAAACACCACATAGCCCCCACTTGAAACTCATAATTTATATCTCCATTTAGCCCCTCCTCATGTGGCTCCCTCATCTAAAACTGCTACTCCTATTTTATACACAAGAAAGTGAGGGAGCAAGTCACAGAGATACTTGGGAGAAAGGCATTCCAGGCTCTGGGAAAGGCAAATACAAAACAGTAAGGTAGGGATACAAGGAACAGCAAGGAAGCCAGACAGACTGGAGTAAAATGGGGCAGTAGGAGGGAGGCTGTGCTGCAGGTAACAAGGACCAGCTCACATCGTGCTTGTGTGCACATTATGGCGAGATCAGTGCTCTTGCCCTGAGATGAGAAGTCATTGAAGGGTTTCAAGCAGAGGAATGGTGTGACCTGACTTATATTTTAACAGGTTTTTTTCTGAATACTATGTTAAATATTGATTTAAATGAGGCAAGAGCAGAAGCAAGGAGTTTAGTTTTGAAGTTATCATAATAAGCCAGGTAAGAAGTAATGGTGGCTTAGATGAGGCAAGGAGTAGCAAAGTGGGGAGAAATATTCAGATTCTGAATATGTATTGAAGGTAGAAGTGTCTGAATTTGATGATAGATAAAATGAGTCATGTAAAAGAAAGAGATTTGGGGGGCCTGAACAATTGGTAAGTAGGGCAGTCATTAATTGGGATGAGGAAGGCTATGGGTTTGGGAACAGTTGTCAGCAGCTCAGTTTTGGAAGTTGGCTTCTGTCTTAGTCTATTTGGCTATATAGTCTATTTGACATCTGTCTTAGTCTATTTGGGCTTCTTTAACAAAGTGCCATTTACTGGGTGGCTTATAAAAATAAAAATTTATTTCTCACAGTTCTGGAAGCTGGATGTTTGAGATCAAGGTGCCAGAATGATTGGGTTCTTGTGAGGGCACTGTTCCAAGTTGCAGACTGCCTTCTTCTCATTGTATCCTGACATGGCAGTAAAAGGGTAAGAGAGCTCTCAGGGGTCCCTTCAAAAGGGCACCCAAATCTCATTCATGAGAGTTCCACCCTCATGCTCTAATTACCTCCCCAAAGCCTGTCCTCCAAACACTATCACACTGAGTAGTAGGATTTCAACATATACATTCTCGAGGGACAGGAATATTCAGTTCATTGCAACATCCAAGTGAAGATGTCAATGAGGCAGTTGGATGCACAAGTTTGTATTTGGAGGATGGTCTGGGCAGGAGGTATACATTTGAAAGTCATCAGGGTATCAGTGGTATTTTCAGCCATGAGCTTGGATGAGATCACCATGGAATGGCCACTGCTTGCAACTAAAAATCTGGTGTAGAGTGCAGAAGAAAAGTAGAAGATTCACAGACGTAACACACTGATAAAATGATCATTCTGGGCTACAGCTTACTCAGAGGGAAGAGACCTCCAATGGGCAGGTGAGGAAAATAGAGTAATGTGGGTACATGGTTGTGCCAGGGGTCTGAACTACTGCTCACAAATACCAAAGCCATAGTTAACCTCTCAGAGAATGTGTGGCCAAATTAACTCCCTGGGCCCAGCCCCAGCTGTCTGTCATAAATGACTCAAGCCTCCTCCAGTACCAAAGCCCTTACATGAGTTACAACGCTGAGGTCATCCCTGAGCTGATTTACTGCCCTGAACATAATTTTATATGTATGCTTTCTCCAACCACATCACTTTCGCTCTTATACTCAGCTTCAGTGATTCATAAAAGCTCCTGGATCATAATAGTTATAATGATGACCATGATGATCCCAATTCTCTGAGCATGGCCAAAGGGCAAGCTATCATAAACCCAAAAGAAAGAGGAAAACTCTCCACAGGCAGCTCCAGGGTAGAAGAGAAGGCAGACTTGATCCCTCGTGGCCATCCACTCCTCACACCAACTTTACTGTCAGCATGGTTCTCCACAAGTGTGTGACCTGGGACTTGAACATGGAAGTCATAGGACCCAATTTATGGGGTGTAGGAGATGATAAAATGTGTGGGTTGTAATGGATGGAGAAGAGTTTCTACTATGTCAAGTGCATATTTGCTAGCATTACTATTCTTACCACTAAGACCACTGCTCCTGTCAGCTCCACCAACATCATCATCATCACCATCACCAGAGAGAGAGATTTTACAGTAGCACATGCAGAAGTCTAATCCACAACCTCCCATCATTTCCTCCTCTCCTGCCCACTCCAAAGCCTAGACTATAGGAGCAGCCAAAACATGCCTTGGGCAAGCAAAATCAAGGTGGCAGTCCTAGCTTTCATATTTTGCCTATCTCTAACCTTCCTGCTTAATTGCTTGGCAGTTTGTAGTGACTTCTTATTAACCTGCAGTCCATATGTGCTAATAGCATGATTTTCCTTTTCAGTTGTGTTGGTTAAAAATCACAGGTGACCTGCACTGCAGAACATTTGAACTGTGAGATGCGTTTCAGGCATTCTATATTCAAAGTACACCGAATTCACATAAACAGCTGAAGGTTACTAGGAAGTGGATTTCTCATTGGTGAAAGATGACAAAATTTTTATACAGATAAAATCATTCATTCAATTAATTCATTTTTAAAATATGTGAGTTCCACCATATTCCAAGAAAATAAGTGATGTATGAGTGAAGTGATGATGAGTGATGAAATGAGAATATAATTATTAGCAAAGTAGTTTTTTTTCTGCATTCATGGAACTTAAAAGTATAGTCAGGGAGATGAATAGTAATTAAATAAATACCTCCATGATATAGACATTGTCATATATGATGTGGAGGAAAAAAAATAAGTGCTATAAATGAAAACAGTGAAAGGTATCTTTTATTTTGGATATGGTGAGGAGACAGAATCAAGAAAAGCTCCTCTGAAGAAGTGGCATTTAAGCTAAGATATAAAGACGAGAAGATATTAGCTAGGGAAAGAAAGGATGAGGCATGAGAAGGAGGATCTTCTTGATAGAAAGCACAGCATGTGCAAAGATCCTGAGGCCTTTGAGAAACTGAAAATGATTGTGATGAAACCAAAGCAATAGAATGCAAGAAAGTGACTGACTGAGCTGGGGCCAGGGGAGGGAACCAGCAGCAAAGGAGCACGAGGAAATGTTTTAGAGAGATAGAAATGTTTTACATCTTGATTAAAGTGACGGCTACCTAACTATACACAAGTGTCAAAATACATCAAACTGTATACTTAAAATCACTAAATTTTATTGTATGTAAATTATTCTTCAATAAAGGATGAAGAAAACACAGTAAGATTTTTGTCCTTTCCCTTTTAAGTGATAATTTTGGGTTCATTTAATATAAAAAGAAAGCAGAAAATGCACGAACTACTAAATTAAATGTATTTGTTTATGAATTTATTCACTTGTTTATTGTTCATGGCCCATTTGTTTAAAAAATAATTTACAATGAAAAGGGCAGACTTGGGATCCTAAGGGACATTTGGTATTTACATATCTACAGCTAGGAGCAAGGCACTTAAACTTCTGAGCCTTTGTTTCCTCCTCTGTGGAAAAAAAATAGAGAGAAAAACATCTCTCATATTAGGTTGTTGAGTGGATGATCTCATTTAATCACAGAAAGATGTCAGTTCCAATAGATAATAGATCCTTCTTCTTTGTCATTCTCTTTGGAATCTCAAATTCAAGCACATTGCCAAGTTCTTCTGATAAAATCAGCCTCCACAAGGGGTGACATGTCTCTGTACGGTGTTCTGGGTATGGGATACCTTTGAGGGGAGGACCCTTAAGGGAGCAGGAGATGACACAGTGGTAGATGGGCATAACTGGTATTGGGTGGTATCACCTCTACCTCAACCTGTGGCCTGCCGCACCCCAATATGGCAGAAACATTTTCAGGCCCCGGCAGGTCCATGTGCATCTAGATCCTGCCTGAGATCCATGTGAAGAGACAAAGTACAGTGAGAGATATTCAAACCTCTCCGTACAAAAGTGAAACAAGAAATGCTAGGAGAGTGTTCGATTCAGATGCAAAAAAAAAAAAAAAAAAAAAAAAATGCACACCTAAAGAACTTTTCAAGGTTTACCCAAACTCGATTTTTTCTCTTCTTTCATCCTTTCTGTTTTTTCCTTTTCATTTTCTTACTGTAGCTTTCTAAAATCATAAGGGTGAAATTTGTAACCTTCTGAAGTCATAAATAGAGGAAATTCATTGGTAGAAGCTAAAACAATTCACCCTGACTCCCTTTAGTTTTCAATTACCCAAGAAAATCTAGTTTTCAATGAATAAAGGCTACCCTTTCAACCAATTTGTGGTGTCTCCGGAGCAAGGAATTGTGTCGATCGTCACCACAAAAATGCACAGGCAGAGGGCAGACAGGCAGATCGCTTTTTGGAGGCTCACAGACAAAGGAGGTGTTATGTGTAGTACAACCATTCACTGCAAAGGGATTGTTTAAGTGGAGATGACTAGTCGACACTCACACAAGAGGGAGCCTTCATACGTAAATAAAGGCTGGCTGCCACAGAAACCCCTCCATCTGTTGCTGCCTATTGCCCGACTTCCAAGGCTCTGGCTGCACTAACTGAAAACATGGATGAATTTGCGTCCCACATGTTCACTTTTAGGAATCACTGAGAGTTTGTTTTCGGGTAGGACCAGCTCCAGCCTGACTCTCTGCTCCGCTAAGCCAAAGAGGTATCCATTTGGAGGCTTTGGGGCTTCTGTTGTCTTTGTATCATTGATTCCTGATACTTTTCCTCACTGTTACTCTCTCCTCATTTGGATGCTCTAGTCATCAACATGGCTAGAGATGTGTTAAGCAGCTAAGCCTCTTTCACTTTGGAGCCCAATTCAAGGCAGGGCTTGAGTAGAACAGTTTCCTCTGCAGAGAGAACAAAAAACCCAAAAGCATGCACGGATGTGCGCACTGGAGAGGACACTGTTTTGGCATTTGCAGGGCATGCCGTTACTATCTTCTGAAGGGGTTAATGTGTCACAAGTTTCAGAAAGTAATCAGAAAGGTGCAAAAGGTCTTCAGCAATGGCAAACCAGCTGCACGCAATGCTACTGGCCCCAATTTATATTTTCTTTTCCTTCAAAGCTGAGGCCAAACATGCAAGTGTCAAATCAGAGGTGGATGCAGAACATAAGCACTGTCATCTGAGTGTACGCAGAAATAGATCTTGAATTGAGCATTGTTGATGAGTTGGCTTTACTTCTCCTCTCCATCTGATAGAGAAAAGGCAAGTACAGTTGTCAGTTCCATTTTGCACCTAAAGGACACTGAGGTGCCAATATGTGAAATAACACACAGTCTCAAAAAGAATGACCAATGTACTCAGTTCCTGACTAATAACTTGGAGCTCTCCTGTTAGATCACACAAGCTTGAAAATAGCCAACTGGCTTTACCAAAGAACTTTTGCATTCCCTATAAGGCAATGAAATGGTGGGAGTGGGAGAGAATCTGAATTCATGTTTAAGCTGCCTAATGCTGAATCACATTCGTGACGTTTTGTGTTCATGAATGGGGCTTTTTCTACTTATTTGCTGGAGGGTAACAGTGTGTCAGAGAAGTTGTGTAAAGCTAAATCCAGAAATCAAAACTTTTTTTCTGCAGTATCCCTTCATGTTTTTGGTCAGGCCACCTGAACACATTCTTTCTTATATGAAATGTAAAGAATAAACTGTCATTTGCACAAAAAGACTTTTGAAAATTAGTAAGATTTGTATAGCAAACAGAGCTAATTGGTTTAAAATACTAAAGGGTCTATTATTTAGCATCTGCTTATTCATGCAATGATATTTATTGAACAATAAACCTAGGAACTTTTGCCACACTGGATGCATTCTAGAACACCTGGCCTTCTTTGCATGGCTGGATGAACTGACTTAGGCCACAGCCAGCTATCTTCTAAAAACTTCTAAATGAAAGCCAAAAAAGAATTAACAGGAATGTCACAAGTCACATGCACGCAGCTGAAGAAAGCATATTGTCTTGACTCAACTTGAAATCTATGCTAACTTAGCAGCAACACCTCATTTCTTAAAACATCAATGATTTTAGGTTTTATTACAGCACTACTCACTTTTGTGGGACTTAAAAAATTAAAAACATTTTAAACTTGCCCTTTAAACATGCTCATAGATTCAGAAGATGTATTTCTTAATATTTAGTATGTTTGGCTCATATTCTATTTCCTGGGTAGACTGGTTTGTATATTTATTTTATCAATTGTTGACACCCATATTATAAGCTGAGAGCTGTTTTGAACATTTGTTTTTAATCCAGCAATAGCTTCATAGACCCTTTAGTGTTTAAAGTATAACGTACAGATGCTATTGGAATAGTTTTAGGGTCCTAAAGCTTTTCAGGGGTCCCAGATCAGGATTTATATAATGGATTTTGGTTTTGTAAAAGGTACTCATAACTCTTGTTAAATTTCTGCATGTTTTTTCTTTAATTCAAGTTTACCAAAGATAGGGAATGGGGCTAACCCAAAGGTAAAAGCAGGAACAAAGTGAATAAAGTGTTTCTCTATTTTGATAAGGGCACTGGGTTAACACGTGAATGTTGGTGTTGATGTCAACATCCCAAGTCAAAGTTAAACATGGCTGGGCTGCTCTTACTTCAGATTTGGGTGACATTTTTCCCGGTTAATGAACATTTCCTTTTCTGCAAAAGAAAGGTTTTGTCTTAAGTTCCATGGCTTTGGGCCAAAAAGAGATCTTTTCTTCTCTCTTTGCCTTTACCCTTTAACAAAAACAATGAAATTCCTTCTTTTTCATAATTATCTTTGTATTTCTGTTAATGTCCTTTTACTTTCATTTTATTATGACTTTGGTACCTCCGATTTTTGTGGAGAAAAAAATAGATTCACTTAAATTAATGTTTATTTTAGCCCTTTCTCTTAAAACATTTAAGTGAGTTTGTTATGGTAAAAGGTACCAGGTTTCTTCGGTCTGATGTTAAGTGAGTGCAGCTTCATGTCTATGTCGCTATGGACATTGAAATTTGTTTTCTTTTGTTTGGCTGAGGTTTACTTTACCACTGCCTGGTTGTTATAAGAGTGAAATAAATCCAGTCATTTGTTTCTGAAAGAATGTGGTTATTATCCATGTTCTTGGACTTTAACGCTACATTCAAAAAAAAAAAATGGCTGAGTACACCAGAGTCCTTGCAATCATACTTGGATCTGGGTTCATACAGAGTACTTTGCTGACTCCCTTCTTCCTACCAAGAGAAACTTAAGCGGTCTGAGAGATTCTCTCCCTTTTTAGCAGTGGGAGAAATTGGTCCTAGCTCAAGTTGTACGATAGGGCCATACAGTAAATACTAATTACCTGACCGAGCCAGATACTGTGCTAAGGACAGAGTCAGAGTGACCCAGAGTGTACAGCAAGAAAAGCTAAGGTTATGCATAAGACAAAATTATGGGGAACTGAAATTAGGAACCTGCAAAGAAGCAAGTTTGCAGAGACGAAATTGGAAACAACACTGCATAGAAAAGTAGAGTAAGAGAGCTAGCGAGTGACTGCCTGATGATTTCCACCTTTCCTGAGCCCTACCTTCATTTTCTACAATGTACTGTTCCCACTATTCTTTTAATAAAACCCCCCTTCGCTTGAGCTTTTTTGGGTGGGGCTTGCTTCCTTGCCAACAAATGTGCCCTGACTAAGACTGGTGCTATCGTTAATTTTTAAGGTAACCCCGAAACACTTCTTTTTGCCTGAAAAGTAGAAATGTCTTAGAAATGTCTTAAGGCCAAAAGTATTCATGTTAGTGACCCAATTCTGTGGGGAAAGAGAAGCTTTGCTTCTCCCTGCCACCAGTGACACTGTCCCCCAACTTCTCACCCTGGAGAGTTCACGAATGGTTGGGGGAGCGGGCTAGCATATCATCTCCCTGGATCCCAACAAGAGAAGGAAATGGGACTAACTAGCAACTGACCCAACTGACGAATTCCATTTCTGTGCAAACACGTCTCCTCTGGCACAGACAGATTCTGATTTTATTTAAATCCTGCTCAGAATTAAATCCCTGCAACATCAAGCTGAAAAGGAGAGCCAGCTGTGAAATGCAGAGGGAAGTGGGTTCCTAACTTGATAAGTCCTATTGAAATGGTGTGGAGTGAGATGACTGTTAAGTGCCTGTGAGAGGATGTGGCAGAGAGCAGCCCAGAGGGGACTGCAGGGGCCTAAGGAGAGAAGTCAGAAGGGGCAGGGATTTTATTTTATTTGCTTTTCTTTCTGGTCACACTGTATTTGAGTCACCTGCCAGTGTAATTAGGCCAGGATGCAGATTTCGTAAAGAAAGAAAGTCATAACCAATTCAGAAGTCGTCAAGGATTTTGACTGATTGTGGTCAAAATGTTCCTCCAGACTGATTTGTCAATAGGCCCTCAGAAGTTATTGGATTGGAGTTAAAAATCATAAGAACTGGAGAGCAGGCTTTAAAATTGCCTGTTCAGTCTTAGCACCTTTTCTTTCCTGGCCCACTGCTTGTTCCCCTTCCTAAAGGTATTTCCTGTTTTTAAAAGGCTTCCAGGATACTTACGAAATCACACATCCCCCTGATAAAATTCAGGGATGTGTCCAAAAAGTCATTCATATCTAGGCACAAAGAACTGATGAGGCTACAGGTGAAAACACTCCAAGAAATATGCATTTTAGCCTAAGACAAAAGTGACTAGAGAATAAATCTCCAGTTACAAGGATTCGAGCATCAGTGGGTTGCAGGAAGATATGTAAAGGACAGGAGGACTCTCCTGAAGTTAATTTGAGGAGTTGTATCTCATCCAGTGAGGCTGCACCTGGGCAAACATTTGACTAAACTGGAGCTCTTCTAAACCTGAGAACGGTAGTGACCAAGAATCACAGGGACTGATCCCCCTGATACTCACTCCTTCCTCCTGAGGAAAAGAGACACACAGCTCCCAAGTTGCCCATCATAGTGGTTATTCCTCAGAACGCCCAGTAATCGCTAAAGGAAGAAACAAAATCTCTAAGAACTTCAGTATCAGACAAGCTCTAGGAAAATCACTAACCTAAATTCAGAATGCTGAACAAAGCCAGAGCACTATTAAAATATTTTATTGATATTCCTCAATTGGAAAATATGTCAAAGACCACTGATTTTGAATAATGGGAGGTTCTTGGCCACACCTGGTCTTCCTGTCCATGCTACCAGTGATCCCATCTACCCCAGAATTTCCCCCATTGTATTAGTCTGTTTTCACACTTTTATAAAGAACTGCCCAAGACTGGGTAATTAAAGGAAAGAGGTTTAATTGATTCACAGATTCGCATGGCTGGGGAGGCCTCAGGAAACTTACAATCATAGCGGAAGGTGAAGAGGAAGCAAGGCACCTTCTTCACAGGTGGCAGGAAAGAGGAGTGCTGAGCAAAAGGGGAAGAGCCTCTTATAAAATCATCAGATCTTGTGAGAACTCACTCACTATCACGAGAACAGCATGGGGGAAACTATCCCCATGATTCCATTTCCTCCACCTGGCCTCTCCCTTGACACATGGAAATTATGGGAATTATGGAGATTATAATTAAAGATGAGATTTAGATGGGGACACAAAGCCTAACCATATCACCCATCCATACCTACACTGCCATCACTTCCACCCCACCACCCTAGCAATACACATCAGTGTCCTTATACCAAAATCAGAGTCACCATATTGCTAAAAGTCCATTTGAGGCTTGAAGTTCGGATGAGGCAAGGAGCCAAAGACCATGGCAAAGAAAAAAAATGAGCTAGTAATTAACACATATAATTACAAGAGTGATTCACAAAAGAGTTACTATGGTTGCTAGTTTATTTTTGTCTTTGTTTCTCTTGACTCATGAAAGCAGAATCTGTTTGTTTCTAATGCAGAATAAGCCAGGTCTTCACAATATATGCTTTCTCCCTTATGACAAGTGTTCAAAAATTAATTCTATGCCTGCAAAACTTAAAAATCTGTCACTGTAGTTTATGTTCCCAGTAGGAGGTGTAACTTAATTGTTCAGGGACATATAGAATAATCCTCCATGCCATGATACCTCCAAAAGAGATTTGCTGTAATGCACTTTACACATAGTTCAGTATTTAATGGCATTCTGCTCAGAGAGGTTTACTTCCTCTTTAAAGGCGAGGTGAATTTCTATGGTGCAAGGACAGGAAGAGTTTCCAAGGATAGGAAATTACTGGTTTCAGAAAGGAACAAACATCTCAGGGAGAATCAATATCAAGTCAAGAATATTTGGGCCTTGCTGTTAATTTGCATGATGTCTAGTACTGACAATCTCACAGTTTCACCCTTGTTCTTCCTATGTAAAATAAGGATACTTGGAGTTTTGTATGTATGTGTGATAGACTTCGCTGCCCCTACTTTCTCTCCTTATAAGCTAAAGGCAAAACGAGACCGCTAAATACCTTTGACACAAAGTGTGGTTTTTTTCTGATGCCTCCTTTACCTCCGGATGGACACAAGTTCTATCCAGCTCACATGATGTCAGCTACTTCCTACAAACATGATTTCCTGCATTTTGGCCATCATAATCACCAGATGATTTTATTCTCTTTACTTCCATATCCCTCATTGTTCAGATTGTTCCTACAAGAAAAACCTACACAACAAAGAAGAGGAAAATCTGATAC